>NC_000006.12:120828365-121131396 GCF_000001405.40 Homo sapiens | reverse complement strand
AACTAGACTAGGTAGCAATTTGCTTGGTTTTTTTTTTCATATTCAGTTTTTACCTGAATATGACATATTGTTATATTTTTTAGAAATTTTATTGATTTTTTAATCAACATTGTTATTCTGAATCACTTTTATATTCATGGAAGTAAATTTAGTGACTCCTAAGGAAATTTTGTTTTAAGGGAACAGCTATGTTTTCTAAATTAGCAAACAAGTTTATTTGTATTCAGTTATCTACTTGCGCATTTGTTTTCTGAAATCATCATTTTTTAAATTAACATATTTATTTTGAATAATGTAAAAAGAAGTGCTTAGAAAAAAGTTCTAATGTCAATATAAGCTAGATTTCCTGAAAACCGTAATTTAAAAGGTATTGTGTACTTTATCAGCAATGCTTTATAGTTTTCATAGAAAAGTTTTTATATTGTTAGTTCTTGGAGAAATATTTCCAGAGAATAATGTTATATATTTATGGCTAAGAAATCAAATGTTGTTCTCCAAAGTTTGAGTATAAAGTGAGCAGTTAAACTATGTTTTATCCCCCCAGATATTTATAAAATATCTATTCTAAGTATATATTTACCATTGATTGAATAATAGAGAATATTTAATATAAATGGTGGGCTGCACAGTTTAATATAAACTCTTAATTTGCACAACAAATTAAGAAAGCAGCAGACTGGAATGATGTTCAGTTTAAATACAGGAACTAAATTCGTATGTCGTTCTGAGTTTATCTCTAACAGGGATAGTAAGACAAAAGAGAAGTATCAGCTGTTTAACTCTTACTCATTCCTCTGAAACAGGACAAACATGTAGAACATTACCATTAAAACTGTGTTCTCTTTGGAATCTGGGTATCTTAGGGCACTTTCCACAATTCTGGACCTCAGTTATTTATTACTTTGTTTAGTTTTTGAGACAGAGTCTTGCTCTGTCGTCCAGGCTGGAGTGCCATGGTGCGATCTTGGCTCACTACAACCTCCGCCTCCTGGGTTCAGGCGATTCTCCTGCTTCAGCCTCCTGAGTAGCTGGGATTACAGGCGCATGTCACGACACCTAGTTAATTTTTGTATTTTTAGTAGAGACGGGGTTTCACCATGTTGACCAGACTGGTCTCAAACTCCTGATCTCAGGTGATCCACCCGCCTCAGCCTCCCAAAATGCTGAGATTACAGGCATGAGCCACCGCGCCCTGCCTATTCATTACTTTGATACTCTTAAAAATAGAGTCTAAAAGTTTTTGGTTCCTTTTTATGGGCTATAGTTTTGGGGCAAAATCTCGTCTCTAGCAATGAGCATTAGGTGATTCCACATAATTACTCATAATTATAAAAAGTCTTCTTATATAAGAGTCTTCTTTTTAAAAAAGGGATATGTTTTTGTGATTTCTAATTTACCTTTGGTTATATTTAAGTTTCTTTTTATTTTGCTCTTGTAATTTAATCCTGTTGTCCCCTTTGTTTAAATTTTAGTGCTCCCAATTTTTAGGTTTTTCCTGTGTGAGATACCATCGAGAGTATAAAATGAAGTATGTTCTTCCTGTTGCTTTCTCTTTTCTGATTATTACCAATAGTATCTACTCAATCATTGAAAGGAGAAACTTAATTTTCCTTGACTTCTTCCTTTTATCCCCTGAATGATACCTGTCCTCTTAGTCATCAAGTCTTACAGATGCTATTCCTAAGTCTGTCTCTAATTTGTTCTTTCTCATTCATATCTTCTGCCACTACTTTAAGTATTCATCATTTAGCAACTGGACAATTATCTAACATGTTTATTTTAGGAAAATCAGAAATTATAAATAAGCAAAATAAAGAGCTAAAATTTGCCTGTAATTTCATCCTTCATATATTATCACTTTTTATTTTTAATCAAAATCAGTCAATATAAACTATACTATTTCATTGGACATTTCACTCAGTACAATATTATACAGATGCTTTTCAACTTACAATGAAGCTACATCCTAATAAATGCATCATAAGTTGAAAATGCGTTTAACATACCTAACCTACTGAATATCATAGCTTAACCTAGCCTAGCTTAAATGTGCTCAGAATACTTAAGTTATCCTATGGCTGGGCAAAATCTAACACAAAACTATCTTATAATAAAGTGTAATTTCTTGAATACTATACTGAAAGTGAAAAACAGAATGGTTGTATGGGTACTCAAAGCATAGAGCTGTCCTAGTTTTGGAATCAGTTATTGTTATGATGATATCTTAGTTTCTTCAGGCTGCCAAAGCAAAATACTTGAGGTTGGGTAATTTATAATCATTAGAAAATTATTTCTTACAGTTCTGGAGGCAGGGAACACCAAGATCAAGGCAAGAGCAGATTCAGTGTCTTGTAAGGAATTGCTGTCTACTTCAAAGATGGTGCCTTCTTACTACATCCTCACATGGTGAAATACAGGGAAGGACAGCTCCCTTCAGCCTCTATTATAAGGGCACTAATTCCTTTCATGAGGACAGAGCCCTCATGACTTGCTCACTTCCCAAAGGCAAAACTTCTGAGTACTATCTGTTTGGATATGTATTGGATTTTAACGTAAGAAATTTTCAGGGATACCGACCTTCAGACCATAGCAGATGGCAAAGCCCAAGGAGAAAGTAGAATCAATACCCAAGTATCCTTGAACAGTCTGCCTTAGTTTTTTCTCAGCAGAAAACCCACGTGTTCTTCTTAGTATATAAATATTATAAATTTTGGTTTTATAGACTATTCATGTCGTATTCCTACCCCAGGAAATAGATGTGATTAAAGGGAGAAGGCCCATAATTTAAAACCCTCTATAGAAATTCCAGATCTGTCATTTAAAATGTAAAAATTTACTTTAGAGGAACAATATTCTATAGTTTACTTTCTGGACAGTAACATCCTAGAATTAATTTGTTTTATAATTAAGGATTGTTTTGTGACATGAATTAATTTCCTTGTGTTAATGGAATTTTCAGTGGGTTGACAGTGAGGCTGTTGGTCATACTGAGATAAGTAGCCACTCTAGTAATTATGTAGTTCAGCTACACTTACAATTGGTTAGAAAGATGTACTGAGATAAGAGTCATAGGTTCAATGACCACATATAGATCAATTTTTAGCATTGTTACATGAGTACAGCCTATCCCTCAAAATACCTGAAAATATATGTTGCTGTTCATAAGGGTTGCTGGGCAAAATGAATAAATAGGCATCAGTAGAAATCTAGAACCTTCTTGGAGTACTTTAGTAATGTCATTTTTACCTATGCAATATAGAATTTGTTCCTCCGTAATCCTCTAATGTACTGATCCAATAACATTATATTTGAATATCAGTACTTGCCAGAAAATAGTGTGGCTTGCTACGTATGAAGTTGGTCATGTGACTCTTAAGTATCAGATTATTTTGTGTGTAGTTCCCTCACAGATGTAATGAATTTTCTGTATTTCTGACCTAATCTCAGGCACAGGATTCAAAGAATTGCTTAGCAATATGCTTTGTCTTTTCCCATTAACTCAAGCACTTTACTTAAATACATAGCGTGTAGCAAACATGGTTGTGCCAAAGTAAAAATAATTACATTATGTTTGGAGTTATAAAAGTGTCTTTCTGTATAACCTTTGTTACTAATGTATATCTTGCATCTTAAATTATTATCATTAAACTAAGAATGATTATATCTGAACTTCATCAAGACATTGTTCTTTCTGTAAAATTTATAATCTCGAGACAGTATTAAGTGATTTATAAAGAAAGAAGTTTGTACACATAGAATTGAAATGCTCTCACCTGAGGGCTATTTAATTTGTTAATTCATAGAAGAGAGACTTGAAACATTTTTATAAATATGGCAAAATTTGTGTCTACACATGAAGATAGAACCAGTCTAAGCAACTATAAACATAAATAGCTTACAATACTGATGTCCTTTCTGACCCTTGACAATTGGATTCTTATACTTTTAATACTTATTCAACTTTGAAATCATCATATGAATAGAGTTCAATGAATAAAATCATTTCATTTTTGTCCTAAGCCATTAAAATATTATGAGATAGAGCTTGTCAGCTACAATTGCTGAAAAGCATATGTTATTCCTCTTTGATTTTGGACTTTTCACCTGTTGAACACTAATTGTTCTCCAAGAATTATATTCTTAAAATGTACTTGTTTGTGGAATAGGGTTCATTTAGTTAATATAGGTTAGAGTTAATATCCTGGATATAATTAAGGGACAATTTTACATAGTGAGTAAAGTGTACTTGTTATTTAAAGCATAACATTGACTCTACAAATTTATTTATTGTCAACAACAACAACAAAAAACTCAAAACCACAACAAACTCTGGGTTGCATATTAATTATATTGTACCTGTTTATATCCATTTCAGGGGTATTAGATGCAAGCCTAGTGGCATTATCAAACCAGCCTAGAAAATAACCATTTTATCACTTCCAAGCCAGATAGGTCAAGCCTTCTTTTGATATTGGTTGCCTTGAATAGATACCGTCAGTTGCAAAGCATATAAAACATATAATATGTCCTGATTTTGAATGAGCTATGCATTGATCCTAGCCTTAGAACCCACTAATACTTTTTTTTTGTTATGCATAAAGAACAAAGGTAAGGTATTATAGCATAATTAGTGATTTTTTTTTTCAGTTTTGAAATCATTTAGCAAATTCTGAAATAATTCTTAGAGGATCTAAAGAAAACAGATGATCCTTTTTCAGTTTTATATTGACTAGGTTCTTAGCTAAGCTATTAAAGTTTAATTTGCATCAGAAACAGTGTTATGAATACTAAAACAGTACGCATTTGAATTGAACTCCCTTAGAGTGTATCTGTGAAGTTCAGATGACTTTTACCTACTAGTTCTGTGATTTAAGGATGCATTGTCACATATTATTCTGACCTTTAATATCCTAATTATTCCTTTGTTTATTACAGCCTTAATAGAATTACTTGAAAAATTTGTGCTTCATCTCACTGAAAGCCCATCTGAATGCTACTTCCCTTCAGTGGAGTATACAGGTACATTTTAAACATTGTGAAGTTTGAAAAAGACTCAGTATGTAACTAGATAATTAATGGAGATGTGTAATGATATTACAGATAGGCAGTTTTCTCATCCTAACAATCTCTTACTTGGTGCCATATACATTCCAGATATCATTAAGCCTCTTTTCTTTGTAAATGTCTAGGTTTCCTTGTAACTCTGTGATTCTTTCTTGAGCTTTCTTTTTCTCTCTCTATCCACTAAAAGTTGTTTTGCCTTAAGCAATGTCTTCTATTCTTCTGATTCTATCATTTATTCCCTAGTGGTCTCCTCTGCTTATACTGTTTTACCTATCTCTCATATATTGATGATTTCAAAATTTACATCGTTCACTCAAAGATCTACTATAGGCTTTATTCTTGTATTTCCAGTGGCCTAGTAAGTAAACATCACCTGGATATGCCACAGAATCCCTCAAACTCACTATGTCTCACAAAAGATACATGCATTTGTCTGGGTCGGTGTGATGGGCATGCTAGCCTGTGTCCCACAGCAGATACTCAGAGGGCCCAGTCTCAGCCCTGGCTTCTTCTGCTGCAATCTTAACTGTGCAGGGAATTACTGGGTGACATGTACACCTCTGAGCTGAGACATGTCTCTCCAGCTTCTATCTCATAGCAGATCCCTAGGGTACTAGTATCAGCTCTAGTCTCTTCTACAGCAGTTGGGGAGCTGTCTTTTCAGTGCAGGGACCTGCTAGGAGATGTGTGCACATCTGAGCCAGCATGATAGGCACATGAGGCTCCATCTCACAGCAGATCTTGAGGAGCGTAGTATCAGCTCTGACCCCCCCGTTGCAACTGAGGAACTACCCCCACTTGTGCAGAGACCTGCTGGCTTACACATCCCTGTCTGAGCCAACGAGATAGCCTATCAGCCTCCTTCCTACAGGAGATACCGAGGGGCCTAGTCTCAACTCCAGTCTTCCTTATACAGAGACCTGCTGGGAAGCGCACCTATCTGGGGCTTACAGTCATCTGGACTCTGATTCCTGGCCAGAGTTCCTGCATAGCTCCAGTGCTCTCTTTGGATCTTCCCCATGTCTTTCTGGGCTGGAAAGCTATGTCAATCTCAGGCCTTGCAAAACATGCAGCAAGCCTGGGCTTAGAATGTTCTCTAGATGGGTACAATAGTCGCAGGCTCAGTCTGCTTAGTCTGCTTAGAATCCCTGGAAGGCCCTCTAGAAAGATAGGCACAAATAAAGCTAGACTGCAAAGAGTAAAATAAATACATAATTCTGCAGCATGTAGATATCATCGGGTGTCCACAAGTATTAAGAACATTCATGGAAATACGACCTCACCAAATGGACAAAATGAGATGCCGAAGACCAATCATAAAATGACAGAGATGTGTGATCTCACAAAGATTTCTAAATTGTTTTAAGGAAGTTCAACATACTTCAAGAAAACACTAAGATCAATTCAGAAACTTATCAGAGAAATTTAATAGAGAGATTGAAATCATTCTTAAAAATTAACCAGAAATCCTGGAACTGAAAAATACAATGATTGAAAGGAAAATGAAAAAATGTAATAAAGAGCATCAACAGCAGAATTGATCACACAGAAGAAAAAAAAATCAGTGAGCTTGAAGACAATTTGAAAATACATAGTCTGAGGAGAAAAAATGATGAAAAGGAATAAAGAAAGCTTATAGGATATATAACAACATCAAAAAAACAAAGATTTGAGTTATTGTAATTAAAGAGAGAACTGAGAAAGACAAGGGCTAGAAAGTTTATTCCAGGAAAAATAACAGAAATATTTCCAAACCTGGAAAAATGTACAGATGACTAGATACAAGAAGGTCAAAGGTCAACAATTAGATTCCACTCAAATAAGAATACCCCAATACATATTATAATCAAACTCTCAAAAGTCAAAGACAAAGAGAAGATCCTGAAAACAGTGAGAGAAAATAAGCAAATAATATATTAGGGAGCTCCAATATGCCTGACAACAGATACTTTACAGGACAAGAATGAGTAGGACAATATACTCAAAATGTTGGGAAAAAAAAGTAAAAAATAAAAACATGTAAACCAAGAATACCATATCCAGGAAAGCTATCCTTAAGAAATGAAGGAGAATAAGACTTTCCCAGACAAACAAATGTTGAGGGAACTTATCACTTTCAGACCTACATACAAGAAGTGCTAAAGGGAGTTTTAAAATGGAAGGAAAAGGATGCTAACATGATTATTGCACTAATATTTAGTCATGGTATGTTAACCACTTAATCTTTACTAAGAAGACTAAAAGACAAACTATTAAAAACTGATAACTACAACAATTTTTTAAGGGATAGGCAATATAAATAATATAAATTGTGAAGTCAAAAATTCAAAATGGTGGTAGAAAGGAATTAATGTGTATAGTTTTTTTTGTTTGTTTTTGCAATCAAGTTATCTTTTTAAAATAACATCATAATAACTATAGGAAGGCTTTGTAAGCCTCATGGTAAACACAAACAAAAAAAAACCTATAATAGATACCCAAAAAAAATACTAGCAGAAAAAAATAAATGCAAAAGAAGGTAGTAAGAAAGGATAGAGGAAGAGAGGAGTCACACAATAACTAGTAAACAAGTATTAAAATGGTTATTATTAATAGTAACATTGAATGTAAACAGACTGAATTTTTCTATTGAAAGATACAAAATGGCTGAATATCAAAACAGGACCTAACTATATACTTTCTACAAGAAACTCACTCCACTTATCAAGACTCACATAGACTGAAAATGAAGTAATGGAAAAAGATATTTTATGCCAATGGCAGCCATAAAAGGATAGGAGTAACTATACTTATATCAGATGAAATAGACTTTAAGGCAAAGACTATAAAAAGAGACCAAAAAGGTCATTATATAATGGTAAAGGGATCACTTCAGTGAGAGGATATAACAGTAATAAATATACATGCACCTAACACTGGAGCACCCAGATTCATAAAACAAATATTGCTAGACTTTATGTGAGAGATTAACTGCAATACAGCTGTAGAGGACTTCACTCTACTTTTGGCCAAGGATAGATCATCCAGGGAAAAACTGTAGAATCATTTCAATAGATGCTGAAAATGCATTTGATACAATTCAACATCATTTATAATAAAAAACTGTTAACAAATTGGGTATAGAAGGAACATACCTCAACACAGTAAAGCCCATATGTGATAAACTCACAGCTAACATCATACTGAGTGAGGAAAAATAGAAAGCTCTTCCATTAAGATCTGTAACAAGAGAAGTTGTCATAATAACCTTTTTAGTTGATATCTCTACTTGGAGTCTGGTTCTTTTTCAAAGGTGCTCTTTACACTGCTCTCAGAGTGATCTTTGACATGTAAATCTAACCCACTCATTCCTCTGCCATTTCTCACCATTGACCATAGCATAAAGTCTCAGCTTATTATCATGGTACCCATGATCTTACATTATCCTGCCCCTTCCTTTTCTCAAGCATCATACTTTCTTTCCATGCAGAACACTAAACTCTTCACATCACTCCCAACTACCCCCTGTCCCAGACACACATGTGTTCATTATGCAACAAATTATCCTGTATTAGGTACTGACACTGTGACAGAAAAAGTCTTCTGCTCATGGAGTTTACTTTCTAGTGGGAAGACAGAAAATAAGTAGAATATTCAGTAAGTTAAAAGGTGTAATGATAAATGAGGAAATACACAACAGAAAAAGGATCTGGGAAGTTTTAGTTAGGAGTGAAGATTAAAGTATTAAATAGTTTTCATATAAAGTTTTATTGATGATGCATTTTTCTTTTTTTTTTACCACACTTCAGCAGGGGATGTGCAGGCAAGATATATGGGTATTTTCAGGGCAAGAGAGTGCTAACAAATGGCCACAAAGGAGACTAATATGGCTAGAAAGGAGTAAAGGAGAGGAATTGGTGGTGTTAAAAGTCAGATAGGAGAGCATGAT
Source organism: Homo sapiens (assembly GCF_000001405.40). NCBI lineage: Eukaryota > Metazoa > Chordata > Mammalia > Primates > Hominidae > Homo > Homo sapiens. The sequence continues at coordinate 121,122,404 of NC_000006.12, read as the reverse complement.
ACAGGATCTTGAAAGTCATTGCAGGGTTTTGAACATAGGCATGACATCCTAATTTGCATTTTATAAGAGCATTGTGGCTGTGGTGTTGAGAAATGACTGAAGGAAGAGAAACGACTGAAGCAGGGAAATGAGTTAAGAGGCTATTGAAAAACAGGAATGGCTGAGATGAGGATGTCAGTAATGGAGACGGTGAGAAGTTTTTGGATTCTGGATATATTTTAAAGATAGGGCCAACAGAATTGGTTAACAGATTGAATGTGGGGTATGAGAGAAAGAAAGAAGTCAAGGAGGACAACAGGCTATTTTTCTGAGTTACTAGGAGGATGGAATGATTGTACATTGAGAGGAAGAATAGGAAAGGAAGGGGAGATTAGGTGCTGGCTTTTTTGTTGTTTGAGATACTTGTTGGACATTCAAGTAAATATGCTTTATACATTCTGGACATGTGAATCGAGTTTAGAGGAAAAGTGTGGGCTACAAATACAAATTACTAAGCCATCAGCTTGGTATATAAAGCCAATACATCTCATTGTAATTTCTTTCTCAAATTCTGACTTAGTGTCTAATTCTTCTCATTCCTGTAAATTTCTTTAGGGTTGTTTTTGTGTTTTACCTATCATTTCATTCTCTGCACCTAGAACAATAACGTCAATAAATGTTTGTCAAATAAAGGAAAGAATGGATAAAAGAATGATGGAGGAAGGCTTTATAAAATGTGTCAATTAGTGTCTTAATTTAATAGGCAATAGAGTAAACCATTTAAGATTTCTGAGCAGAAACTTTACTTGATTCACCTGTACCTTACAAAGATTATTCGATAATAGTAACTGTGTAAAGGAAAAAAATGGAGTACAGAAATGAAGTTTTCCACGGATGAATATCCAATACTTAAGGGGCAGTGAATAAAGAGACAGTGAAGAAAGTAGAGTTAGCATATACTACTGATAACAGATCATCTTTCCTGTAAGGGTGATATGATTTCTTCTTTTGCTGAAGAAACCATCATTCAAATATGTGTTATTTATTCAAGTTAGACATATCTTTCTAGCCTTATTACCATTAACTGCCCAAACACATTCTGCGCATTTGCCTCACTAAATTTTTGCTCCTGTTGTTCCTTCTAGATGGATGCTTCCCTCTCCATGACATCCACATGATAATGCCCGACTCACCTGTAAAGTTTCAGCTAGAATGTAACCTCTCTTATTCCTAAGCAGGATTCTCTCTTCTCTGCTCCTACTGCATTCACTTTAAACTACCATTTTGATAGTTTTATTATATTGTATATGGCTAAATTGTTACATTAGGTGTCAAACTCCTTTGTATCTTCAATATGAGATTTAATTATATATATATACACATACTATATTCACATCTATATTCAAAGAAACGTATTATAGTTCTGTAACAATTCTAAATATCTAACAATTCACATAATTAGATACATGTGAATATACAGATGACCCTATATTTATTTACACATAATGATATCTAATGCAAACCTGGGAAAGGGGTAAAAGAGACTTAAGAGAATTAAAACAAAGAAATGAGAAGAAAATACAAGATACTATTAAACGAAAGTTAAGGTAGGTGAAAGGAATTGATATCTATTGATCACCTCTTTTAAATTAGGTATTATGTTGAGGCACTTGATATACCTTGTGTCATTCAACCCTATAACTGTTCTCTGAACTAGACATAATCATCATATTTAAAATGAGGAAATTGAGGCATAGAGGAAAGAAAACATAAATTGGGAAGAGATTTTAAAGGAAAGCATTTGTGAAGAAAATTATGAACTTATGAATGAACATAAAAATTTATGTGAAAAACATACAGCTATTAATGGTTAAGTTGGGAAGTAATAGGAAATGAGTAAGAAGTGTGATAGTCATGGAAATTTGCATGACCAAAGTGGGCATTTCTTTAGACTTAAGCATAATAATCTCCAATTCGTATAGCTCTCTTTTTCACATTGCTTTATTGGACCATATTTTCTGTAGAAAATCTAAAATTAAAATTATATTGTATATATTACCTAAATATTCAGCAAAACTGATTGCTCAGTGTGCATGCGTTACTGCCCTCTGTTATGTTTCTAAATTATGCCGAGTGAGATCTCAGATGTCGGCTTTGTTGAATGTATTAGCTAGGCAGATAAACCCTGAATGCGGATTTAAATTCCTTAAAGGTTCCAGCTGAAGCTATTCACCAGTCTTATAGTAAAGCCAAAAAATGAAGTGACTTTCTGTTGATTGATTGTTTAATATTTATTATTTTGATATACTGAGCTTGTTGCTAGTACATTGTTTTCTTCCCAAGGCTTTAGGTATTCTCATCCTTTATCAAGTATTTTTTTGGCTGGTGGAACAATGATTTTTTTATTATAGAATTTCACTGTATTTGCTTTAAATTAAAAATTGTTTTGATATAAAATGTTTTAAAACAAATACTGGATAGATGTATTCAATGTTTTTTTAGGTTTCTGGAAATGAGAAATTGATTATCTTTTAAGAAATGACAGACAGCCTTCTAAACCCTAAGGTAGTTGAAATTAGAATTACACAATCATCCATCTGTTGTTAGCTCCCTCAGGATTTCAATCCATTATAAAATTTGCAAATCTGGAAAAATCAAATTAGTTTGGCTGTTTATCCCTTTAAAGAAAGAGGAAAGAACAAACAGATAAACTTCTGCACATTTGCAGTTTGTAAATTCATATAGGTATCTTTCCATATCTTAACAGACATTTCCTTTTTGTTGGTTCAATTCCCTGGAACAAGTTGGGAATTTTTTTCTAGTGTAATTGCTTCTTTGAAATGATAAATTAAATGGCCCTTTCAGGGTGATGTGTATTTTTATTTCTTTTCTCTTCGTAATGCTAGTTAATCAAAATGTTAGAAAAAAAATCAACATTTTGCTTGTTTCACCTTTTGATTATTAAAATATAGTTTTAAATTTAATTAAATATTCTTAAACACCTTTTATATTTTCTTTGAAAAGCAAAAATGCTCTCTTCTATCTTACATTTATGAAACGTTTGTGAGTAAAGCACAGTGTGTGATAATTGCAAAGAGATATTTAATATGAACCTTTCCTCAGGAAGGAAAAATAGGACATATACCTAAAATTAGGAATTAAACAAATTGCAGCATATAGTAAGGTAGAAAATAAAAGAAACAGTTTTTCAGCTGGCTACTTGGTTTCAGGCAATGTGCTTTTTAATATGCTATTTGAATTTGGTAATTGTCAATGAAGGGTTTTATTTTAAGGGCCACAGGTGTCCAGTAGAAAATGACATCAGTGTCAAATTGGTGCCATCATGGAAAATAAGAGGAGGAAGCGTTAATAGAGAGCAGGCGTAGTACTTGTGCTGCCTCCTGGGATATTAGAATGGAAATAAGCAAGAGAAGAGGGGAAAAGTCTTCCAGGCAGGGGTAATTGCATAATCAAGACATGGAAATGCTATTTTTCCCAAATTACACTGACTACATCAATTAGGAGGCTGAGACATGTACAGTAGACTGGTCACAAGGTACTGAATTCTGTGGTAGTAAGAACTGAATAAAATGCATGGATACAATTACATATTAGAAAAGAAGCAACAGAACTTACAGACTGACTTTGGGAAAGGAAGCAGGGAGGAAGAAATGTAGTCCGTTGATTCCTTTGGGTAGTAAGAGTTTTCTTAAGTTAGGACAGGTAAGGGAGGGCATTAGGAGAGTCAGTAAGCAGCCAACCAGTAACTGCCTCTCCAACCATGGATTTGTCCTCCAGTGGAGAAATTCTTTACTCTTCTGAAAATTTATTTTTTTCCATACTATTAGGTGCCAGGCAGAATAGATTTAATTTCTTCTACTGCTGTTGTATGTGCTAGCTTTGCAAACCAAAAACAGAACAGAATGCATGACCCACACTGAGTGATATCAGTTCATGTGACATAAATTTTGTCAACTCATTTTATTTTGAAACTATTGCATTTATAGTTAAAAGTATTGGTTATTTTGAATAATTTAATGATTAACTCTAGCTTAGATTGAATTAAGCATTGTTAGTAAGTGGGTAAGTATGATGCTATACATGTCATTAGCATGTACAGCATCATACATTATTCTTTTCATTATTCTTTTCACAGTGACTTCAGGGAGTGGGAGCTATCTCTTCTATGTGTTACTTGATTTTAATATACAGAAAATATTTTTAAGTCTATGTCTGTTTTCTTCTCCATCTTGCTTCTAGTTTGATATTTAAAGTATAATTTCTTTTGTTGCTATTCATTGGATGTTGGTTCATTCATTTACTCATTCATTCATTCATTGTTTATTAAGTATGTGTTATGTATCCTACACACTGTTTTTCCTAGATCAATTAATTACTCGTTACCAGCCATGCATATGGATCAAAATCCTCTGAAGACGTCCATTTTTAAAATTATTTAATTTTACTTATTCATTTTTCCCCATCGATTTTATTTTTGAGATTTCAGTTCCTGCTTTATAAGTTAATGTAGTCCAGAGTTTTGTATAATAAAAGTTTCTTCCACCTAACTTTTGTTGTCTGAGATGTATTTGGAATATAAAATTTGCTTGCTAAGTTATCATTGTGTATCAATGATATACAGTGATTTATTGTATATTGATACTGTATATCAAATATAATACAAATTTAAAATGGAAACCTCTTTTTTTTGTTTTTGTTTTTTTGAGATGGACTCTCACTCTGTCACGCAGGCTGGAGTTCAGTGGCATGATCTCAGCCCACTCCCACCACTGTCTCCCAGGTTCAGGCAATTCTTCTGCTTCAGCCTCCCAAGCATCTGGGATTACAGACATGTGCCACCACGCCTGGCTAATTTTTGTATTTTTAGTAGAGACCAGGTTTCACCATGTTGGCGAGGCTGGTCTTGAACTCATGACCTCAAGTAATCCATCCCTCTCAGCCTCCCAAAGTGCTGGGATTACAGGCTTGTGCCACCAAGCCTGACTTGAAGCCCCTTTTTAAATATATGCCCCTAACCCATTTTCTGATGTCTTCATTGCTGCTTTGGGGAAGTTTTTATTCCTTGCATATTTTTATCTGCATAGTTTTGTTCATACCAAAGTTATATACATCTCTTTCACATCAGTGATTTTTTAAAATGGATGTTCGATGTTTGTTTTGGTATGCCAACACCTCCATATATTCTCATTTAAAAGCTTTTTTGAGAATTTGCTACACTACATTAAAGTGAAATTTGGATAGTGTTGTATAACTGTCCAATTGTAACTCTATCTAAATTTAACTTTTATTCCTTCAAATGTAAATCTCAACTTTATTGTATAACAAATAAGCTGTAGAGGCCTTTAAAAATACAAATGACTGGACATTCCCTCTTGGCAATCTTATTTAGTAGTCTGGAGTCGAGTCTATTTATCTTTAGTTTTAAAAAGTCCCTCAGAAGATGAACCACCATAGTTTAGAACCATTATCTGTTGAAATGTTCAGAGTTAATTTTTTACTCTGAAGATACACTGTCATAAAGTTTTAGAGAGGGTCTAGACTTTGGAAATTATTTGTACAACTCTAGGAAAGTGAAAGGACTCATCTCAGGCCTCACAACTAGACCACTATGTAAGAACTCTTTTCTTTCACAGGGAAGAACTATTTAACACATCCAATTCCTTTGGACAACTCCTCTCACCTTGCTGCATAACTTTATTACATTCTTCACTGATGTGCTAGGTCAGTGTTTCCTGATAGAATCCACTGTGGTCTGTGGAACACATCATGATGGGAATGCCCATTCTTAACACCTTTCTCCACCCACTGCACACTCATCCTTTACCAGTAAGATATCTATCTATATCATACTTTCCAGAAGAGAAAAAACATTAGTATTACTATAGGCACACAGATCTATATGTTAAGGTTCAACTTAAATACCACTTCTTCCTAGCTAGACATAATCTTTTCATCTTCTGAATTCATGTAACACTTTATCTGTATCATTCCTATTTCATATAGGGCTTTAAAATACCTTTATCAGAGTTATCTATATACATTTGATCTCTGACACTACTTGGACAGGTTTTTAGGGTATGATTTATCTTTTATCCCTCATAGCTTCTTGCATGGTGTTCCATACTTACTATATCAGAGATGATTTACTAAGGGGATGAATGAGCCTGGAAGTGAAATAGATTATACTGATAGTATGAGAAACACCAATGTGTAATGAAGGAAAAAAAAAAAAAACTTCATGATATTCTGAAAACCTAGGTTTTGGTCTTCTCTACCACTAGATAACTATGTGATGAGTCTCTTAATTGTGTGTGCATGCACTGTGTGTTCATGTGTTTGTGTGTATGTATGCATGCTACAGTTTTCTCAGCCAGAAATTGAAAGTTTCAGCTAGACCCTGAATGCTATTTAGTTGTGCCTTTGAGGGTTCACTGTTAGTTTGGTCCTCTACTGTTCTCAAGAACTAATCCAGACTTTCAGCCTCACCTGCAGTCCTCTGTACTATGCTATTTCTATTCTGAAATGGACTTTGTAGATAATATAAGCAAGCTAATCACTATCTTATTTGTAAGAAATAAATGAAAAGTGATTCATTATGAAATGTTTGGATATATTACAGTATAAAATATAACTAACCCTTTCTTCACTTTTGGTTAGATGATTACAACAACTACTTCGCAAAGAAAACTTGGCCTGCAGGAAGAAATTCATTCATTCTACCCTCATACGTTACCATACATTAAAAGTGGAACACTGATTACTTAAAGATTAGTATCAGGAACGAAATAACCATTCTTGTATATATTTGTAATTCAGAGTTTTATGTATGCATTGCATGATGAAAGTAGTATTTCTAGACCACTTTTTGGGTCAATGGCTCTTTTTATTCTGAGAGCCAAGTAAAATAGATTGTTTTAAAACTACTATTGTTATGTATTTAATATGTTTTCCAATGCTTTTTATGGGAAAAAGTTATTTGTAAAAAGTTTTCTGTTAATTCCTTTGAAAATGTAACTGACAGTTCCTAAAAGAATAAATTCATCAGTGTTTTCAAAATTCACATTAAAATATGTAAAAATATTGCTTTCATCAATTTTCAATTAAAATGTGATTATTATGCAAACTTTTCTGCACTTTATAACTCAGTTTTCTGTTGTCTTTAGCTACTGATGCAAATGTGAAGAATGAAAGTCTTTCATCTGTGCAGCAGCTTGGCATTAAAATGACTGTCAGGTATATTATAGGGAAATAGCTCCCTTGTGCATTTCTAGAATTTGTTTTATCTGCCTCATATGTGCTCAGTAGTATTTAATTTAACAACCAACTATTTTGTATACTTTAAATGCAGAGTTTATCATTCGGAAAATGACTTTGTTTTTGAGGATATTGGCACATGATTAAATTACCTCTCTAGGTAAATCAGTTACAGTTCATTGTTATTCCAGAGGCCAATTACAGTGTGTTTAAGCCCTCATGACTATCAGGTTTTTTACAAAAATAACATTGTAAAAGTCAGCACGTTGGTAACACAGTCATACTATTTTCTAGAATATGATTAATTCCATGGTGATGAGTACAAAAGTACCTGAAGGACAGATGCAGAAGTTAAAATTAAAAAACTTATTGCAGTTTGAATTTTTAATACTCAAGTTGTAATTTTGAAAAGAAACAGGTAAGCTAAACAGTGAACAGAGAGTTAAGGACTGAAACCTTGAAACTTCCCTTTCTTGCTTATTAAATGGGGATTTTAACATTCCCATTTTACTTATAGGGTCATCTTCAGAATCAAATTTTAAAAAGATACGTGTAAGATTTGTTTAAAAAGCTGGGTATTTTTATAAATTCACAGCATGATGAAAGTGATTTTTTTAATAATTTGAACTTACATGCCTGTATCACATAGGGCATATGATTCTCTTAATTATGTTTTGTGATGTTGTGCCTGCTTTTTGTACAAATATTTTATAATGCCCTATTGCTATTCTGAAATGGACTTCGTAGATAATATAAGCAGGCTAGTCACCTATTTTTTAACTCAATATAATATCTTATTTGTAAGAAATAAGCAAAGTTATTATGAAATGTTTGAATATATTACAGTATAAGATATAGCTGGCATCCAAGTGTAAAATAATTTTGACTCCAGCAGCTACAAATACAGACGGATTTTTCTTTTCATGCCTCAAATACTACAGTGTGGCCACGAGCAAAGAGATTTTGTGTGTGTGTGTGTGATGGAATCTCGCTCTGTCACCCAGGCTGGAGTGCAGTGGCACGATCTCGGCTCACTGCAGCCTCTGCCTCCCAGGTTCAGGTGATTCTCCTGCCTCAGGCTGCTGAGTAGCTGGGATTACAGGTGCATGCCACCATGCCCAGCTAATTTTTGTATTTTTAGCAGAGATGGGTTTTCACCATGTTGGTCAGGCTGGTCTCAAACTCCTGACCTCATGATCCACCCACCTCGGCCTCCCAAAGTTCTGGGATTACGGGTGTGAGCCACCAAGTCTCTTTAAAAAGAGACTTTTTAAAAAATGGTGAACAATTATTAGTAAGGTTTCAAAAGTACAGAAGTACAAAAGAAAAATTACAAAAGCACTACCTTTGCTTGATTTATACATAGTTGCATTGTATGTATACTAAAAAGTACAGAAGTTTTTGTAAGACAGAATTAGTTTCAGACAATTATAAACAACTTTTTCATCCATACCAGTAACAAATAGGACATTTGCAAGTTGCTGTTCAGGACTGTCCCATGTCTAATCACCTGGCCCTTGCTCATTAAGTACCAGTAGTGCCCCCTAGTCACTATGACAATCAAAAATAGTCCTACACATTTCCAGAGTGGCCCCTGAGGGAAGTACCACCTCCATTTAGGACCATTAGACTGTTTGAACTCTAAAGGTACTTCTAGACTCAACATTTTGTAAAACTAACCTGTCAACATTCCATGTTTTAGATTAAGTTCAGGAAAAAATGCTTATATTATACGTTTCATCTACAGGATATCATCATGTTGTTCTCTCATTACTGTTTCATCTTCCTTTAAAGTTATCAGTATTTGCCAGATGAATACTGTTAATCCAAATATATCATAATCATCAGAAACATGTATTGAGAGCTAATCTTTCATAAGTGCTCTGTATAACATAGTTATGCTAAAAGAAGTAATTTTAAAACATTCAATGCAAGACCTGATATGTTTTATGTTTTGTGGGCTTTTAATATAGGTATGGCAAATTCCTCAGTCTCTTAAAAGATGGTGCAGAAAATGATCTTACCTGGGTTTTAAAGCATTGTGAGAGATTCCTGAAACAGCAGCAAACTTCCATAAAATCTTCTCTTCATATCCTTTTTGAGTATATTCACAATAGCTTAATTTTTTTCACATATTTTTCATGATTCTTTGATGATATACCTTGACACATTTATAGTAAAGTAGTACTTTAAGCTATATTAGTGATTTGTTATGATATATTCTTACAGTATTTTATTCTGTATTTTAAATATGAATTTTGTTAAATTGAGTTGTAATCATTATATTTAGTCTCATTCATTGAATCTTAAACTGAATAAAGACATTAGAATGTATTTTCAGACATGTCTAAGAATATTTAAAAACTAAGTTTCATAAATTCAGAATAAGAATGTCTGCTTTTTATTTAATATATTCATTTTATTTTATTTACAGAATTTTAATATTTTATCTTACAAAATATTGTAAAGTTTTCTTAACTGTGTTTTTCAGTCTGCCTGCAAGGGAATTATGCTGGCCATGACTGGTTTGTATCTTCTCTGTTCATGATAATGTTGGGAGACAAAGAAAAAACATTCCAATTTCTTCATCAATTCTCCAGGCTTCTGACTTCTGCTTTTCTTTGGTTGCCAAGGCTACATATTTCTGTAAGACTTCAATCTGTTTTTAAAGGAGGGTTTGAAATTTTAAGAACATTATACTTACATTCACTGGGGCATAATTTTATTTGTGAAGGACTTTGTAATAAATTATACTCATTTTTCTACTTGAATGTTTTTTGACTAATTCTCTTTGATTATATAGATTTGATATTTTCTCAAATACTTGGTGTCTTACCTAATAGTAACTGAATGATTTATATTAGAAGCATTTTCATGAAGTAGAAACATGATAATGAAATTAAAATGATAGTTATATCAGTTAAATTCTGCACCTAAAAAGAGAACTATTGACTTGTGTTTTGTATTGTTGCTTGGTTAAAAAGAATCTCTGGCTGATTATGGTATAAGAAAATCATTTATTAGGAAGATATTGTAACTATTTTCTATAGAAAATTATATACATTTTGTAAATCTATACTGAGTGTTTATTAAAGTATCGTAATGTATTTTAAAAGATTTTACTAGTCTTATGCAATCTCAGAGGTTACTTTAGAGGTAAGTATATCCTTCAATCAATTTATAATGTTTATGTTTATTTTATTTATTTGTTTATTGCTTGCTGTTAAGATTTCCAACTAGGGGAAACTGCCAAAAATATCAGCTATGCTAATGTTTCTCAAACCTTTTCCATGACATGTTGCATTTGGACAGTGAAATCACATGACAGTCAAGGATAAACTAAGGAGATTGGCAAGTATCTATGTGGAGATGAAAATATTCATTAGGTGTTTTTTACAATATATATTTGTGATAAGGAAAATAAAATCAATTCATCATGGAATACAATAAATATTAAAATTTTATAATGTTATGCTTCAAGTAGCTATATACAGTTACTTAAAAAGATCATCCAATTCTTGTTCTTCACCATAATGAGAAATTTTCCTCCCATGAACACAGAGAAACTAATGGCAAAAAAAGCATGCACTAGTTTTTCTGCAATCAGTAGAACTATTTTCCTGCTGTTAACCAGAATTTGAGTAATTCTATTCCTTTAAACTGTACTTGAAGATTTTAAAAAATCTAACAGCCTTTTCTCTTTTTCACTTTCAAATGTAATGTTGAAAATCTTTTGATAATGGGTATGGATTTTGTGTCCAATCATTCATTCTTCTGTGAAATATTTTAAAGTAATGTCTACATTCCACTAGTCTTAACAGTTCTGCCTTTAGTGTTCAGATTATGACACCATCTAAACATCACCAGTGAATCATATTGAACCATAATTTTGTAAAGTTGCATTTATACTTTGAGCCTATAAAATCGTACTTTTTTTCATAACATCAATGATCTTGTGTTCTGATAGCATTTCTTTCTATAAAACTGAAAACAAGCAGGACTCCAGCAGCTTGAATTTTATTTGACTTACCATTTTGATAGCATCATTGAATATGGAATATATGAATGGAAGGGAGTGACACATTACTGGCTCGGGGTTTTCGGAATGATCTCTTGATGTAAAGCCTTGACACCTTTCTACTGATGCAGCTACACTGTCAGTGAAGACTTAATGCAGTGCCTTCCATAGCATCATTTTTTCTTTTCAATTACAAATACATCAAGTTGAATGTTTTATTACCAGTAGTTTGTTTTGATGCTTCTTTGTAAAACAGATGACATGCTGTTAAGATTCCTCGACAGGAATTCTATCTAGAACTGTTAGCTAAGTGCTGCTACTAATATCTTACATTTATACGACAGTATAAATGTTTTTGACTAACAATCTTTTGAATTGCTATTTCCCCTATGTCACTTGACTTGATAGTACATTCAGTAAGTCTTAATATATTATTTAAAAGTGATACCTTTTCTATTTCATTTGTTCCATTGTCTCAAACATTGTGGTGATGGTTTCTATGCAATTTGATAATATGAACAAATCTGCAGCATGGTGACAGACACATTGGCTATAGCTGTTGATAGTACAAACTTGTCTACCTTCTTTAGCTCAGCCTCACATTATTGTAATCAACCTCAAAAGAAATCAACCTATTTCCTCAATTCTACTTACCCCAACCTCATTACCCTGTCCTATTTTTTTACCTTTTTTATAGCCTATATCAAGTCCTAATATTTATTTATCTATCTGTACACTTAATGAAAGTCCTTTGAAAACAGTTTTCTGTTTTGTTCATAGATGTGTCCCAAACTATAGGCCCATAGTAATCACTCAATAAATGTATGTTGAGTGTGTAAATTTATATATTTTTATATATATATATAAAATTTTTTTTTTTTTGAGACAGAGTCTCACTCTGTCGCCCAGCCTGGACTGCAGTGGCATGATCTCGGCACACTGCAAGCTCCGCCTCCTGGGTTCACGCCATTCTCCTGCCTCAGCCTCCCGAGTAGCTGGGACTACAGGTGCCTGCCACCACGCCCAGATAATGTTTTGTATTTTTAGTAGAGACCAGGTTTCACCGTGTTAGCCAGGATGGTCTCGATCTCCTGACTTCGTGCTCTGCCAGCCTCGGCCTCCCAAAGTGCTGGGATTACAGGCATGAGCCACATAAATTAATATTTTAATAGAAATATGTAAGGATCTGTAAGCTTTTATTACTCTAGAAAATGTATTTGAAAGATATTAGATCCCCTGCATTCATAAGAATGTTGTAAACAAATGACCTTAAAAAGGTTTAAAAAAAAATAAGCTTAGGATAAGCAAAACAGGAAGTAATGAAAAATTAATTTGAAGTTCTTAAAATTTTATAAACTATGACTATATTACTCATATGAGATAAAAATAGTTTGAAAAATTATCCTTTGAAATCATTTACACCGGAAGAACCCTTTAATGTATTGATTTAATTAAATTATCTTCAATTATTCTTTGCTACTAAGAAAAAAACTTTGTAAATGTTGAAATAGTTATTCTTTATGGAGTTTGATCAAGAATCAGAGTTTGGCCAGTTGTTAACATTGAAGCCATTAATAAAATGATATATTTTAAAAAATCAGGAAATTATTTTCATAGTAGAAATATCTAATTTCAAAGAATAAATTAAAGTAGTGATCATAAATTTCCTTTCTCTGTAAAAGCATATGAAAAAGGAAATCTAATTAAACTGAAATAAAAACCAGAGTATTTTACATGCACATACAAACAAAACTCCACTTATGATAAATCAGGCTAAAGTAATGCTCAAATGAAGTAATATAGTTCAACAGGAAATTCATGCAATAGTTATAATGTAGGGTAATCACTACAGAAGCCTTCCCTTACTCTTCTTAAAATAACAATTACCTAGTTCAGAAAGTTCGTGGATTTAAAAATTCTAATTGTATTCAAGTATAAATTTACATTTAAATTTTACAGTTATTAGAATGGCATGACATACTTGTTACCCCTTTGTAGAACATCAACAAATGTAAGCCATGTGACCAATCACTTGTAGGAAAGATGTCTAGTGTAAAACCCCTTCCCTTTCTTATATGTGACTATAAGTCTTAATCATATTTGCCGATTCAGTTTTCCCATTTTTTTCTGAGAGGAGAAAGATTGATATTATCTAGAATTATAGAATCAAAGTTTTAAAAAATCTGCAAAATTTTTTGTTTACCTCTATGCATGATGCACAAGTTAACTACAACATTGCTGTAAAGCGTGGCACATCCTTAGCCCACAAAGTCTGAAAGATGGAGGACTAGACTGGACCAGACTAGACTGAATCCATTTGAATTGGAGAGTTTCAAATCTTTCTAATGGGGTCTTTCTATTTAATTTTCATAGCAAAGTAGAACTAGTTTTTTTCTTAATATCAGGAATAAAATGACTCCCCAAAAGATCTATAATGGAAGAAAAAAAACTAAGACTGTTATGTTTTTTTTTAAGCATAAATCTTTTATTATTAATCACTAAAGTAATATACAGTATTCTGAAGAGTGTTTTGTTGTAAAGTCCTTGCTTCATGTTATGTCACTTTCTAGGATCTCAAAGCCAATGTCTTTATTGACAATTTTTTTGCACTTTGTCTTAGCGTAGTTTATATATTAGACTATTAATTAGATGATGCTAAATGCTGTTGTCCTGCATGTGTTCCATTAATCCAATATTCTGAATGATAAAGAGTTACTGTCCTTTCAGAGAGTGGTGACTGTCTTTTCAGAGAGTGGTAAACAGGACAGAGAGTTACTGTCCTTTCAGAGAGTGATAAACAAATTACATCAAAACTCTATAAGTATAATAAACAATTTATCATTTGATGATTCAGAAGACCTCGTATTATATTCATGTGACTTAGAGCTCTCACTATTGATCTAGTTTTATGAACAATGTTTACTGTAAAATAGAGGCATGAAATGGTAATTAATAGACCAACTAATGAAACTTTTTATATAAGTGAGCTTACTTTATGACAAAAAGAAAAAACACTAATGATTGCATACTGTGCAGTCTGTGTGTGCAATCATTAGTGTATTTTCTTCTTGGCATTCAGTCAATAATATGTTGAGCATCTATTCTATGCAAGGCTTGGTATCAGGAGCTGTGTTACCACAAAGTATGGCAAACTTTCTTCCAACAGAGTCTAATTTATAAGAGTAGAAGAACTCTTACCTCAATTCAGGGAGTCCATTACATAACAATAACTTATTTTCCTTGAAAATATAATTAATAAATCTATTGTCTTTATCTCTTAATGGACCTACTCTAAAGGTATTTCTAATGTAGCCTAGAAAAGACACTGCATATGAATCATTTCCTATACATAGAACTCTTATGCTACTATTAGACATGTATTCAGAAAATTATTACCTAAGTTTGCATGGAAAAACTAAAATACACTTATGAGTTGATTTTTGTTTTCATATATGCCTATTAGATTTAGTCATTCTACAAATAGTCATTAGTGAAACACATTGCAATATTTCACAAAAGAAGATAAATCAATGGATACTGTTTCTCATTCAGTCCATATTATTATTTTAACAACTCAGTAAAAAGTTTTCTTTTTGTTCTACATATCGATATAAAGTTGGCTACAAGATATCCATTTACTGTGCTATGCTTCATTCATTAATGCACAAAAATAATGTTTTTTTCAAGTGCTGTGAGGTATCTCCTGGAGAAACCTTCATAAATATACATTTACATAAATATTTATGTTTCTACAAATATATATTTCTGCAATGTGAAATAAGTCATTTATGATGAATGATAAAACCGAAAAACCACTGTAAATCAACTTGCTGATTTCAGAAACTTTAGTGTATAACTCAAACCTAAATTCTTAAAAGCATCCTAGCATTAGCAATAAGGCTTTACATAAATCTTCTGTATTTCAACTCATATAATTGCTATGAGTTTAATTTGTTTTAATTTAAAAGCATTAACTTTATTTAAAAAGTTTGAAAATAAGATTTGTCCAGTAAAAGCAAGAAGATAAGATGCCTTTTTGGCAGTCTTTTAACTATGTAAAGTCTTCAGATCTAATTTGATTAACTTTTTTTGTTGATATAATTGCTAGTTGAACAGTTTTTCTTTACCTAAAATTGTATCTTCAGGTTTATTACTCTTTGTTAAAAAACAATTATTATGGGTATATGTTGGCTTTATAGTAATACACAGTACATTATTGATCATTTGCAATGATAAATTGTGCCTAAGAACTAAATTGAAAAAATAAACAATATGTTTGTAAATATAGATGTGTGTATATATTCACATATATATAAGTAACTATCAATATAAAATTATATGGAAATAAACATAAATTTTATACAAAATAGTTGGCCTGAGAACCTTGATGGGAATGCCTTGTGCACTTCTTTCCCAGTTTTAGAGATGAGTTTCTCAAATCATTCCCAATTTGAATTATTATTAATTCAGGGTCAGATTTAGGCTAATATCAACATAGTAAAGGGTACAATGCAAATATCTTCAACAGCTGACAAAGCTAAAATCCTTTGACATTATAGAATCATTGGCCAAAGCCAAGAATATTAAGCATATTTCAGTACACTTAGTATTAAAATGTAAAGTATTACTCGTGTACTCACTTATATGTGTATTTATTCTTTCATGTAACAGCCCTCCTCATCTTTCCACAAGGATTTAAGTTGCCAAGATTATAAATTATTAACTTTTTTCCTGAGTCTTGGAAGGTATATAACACTGCCTTTATCAAAATTTCTTCTTTCAACACTGTTTAACATTCTGACTTTTTACTTTACATAATTTTATTTACAGTGATTTGTTATGCCACCATATTAATTTTGAAGCAGCAATTTACAGCAAAAGGAAAATAGGTATGTTGGATTATTTTAAATGATCTATATTTATTAAATAATAAAATTAATAAAATTTTTAATTTTTCTCTTTTATGCAGAGTTACCTTCCTAATGACACTGTAGAATCTGGCATCCATCCAGTATATTTTTGCAGCACCCATTATATTGAAATGCTACTGAAGGCTGAGTTGCCTCTTGTGTTTTCAGCTTTTCACATGTCTGGTTTTGCACCATCACAGGTAATCCATAAGGGAGTAGCATTTCTCCAACTCCTTTATCTCAGTGTCTTCAAATAAAACTGTGTTCTCATCAAATAAGGAAATACCTTTAAATTAATAAAAGTGTATTTAAAATCCTCAAGCTAGCTTTTCTCCCCAGGCCTGTTATGATGTAAGTTTGCTTTATAATGCTTTCTACCATTCACAGAATTTCAGCTATTCAGGGCATAGACCTTCTGAAAGTCTGTATGACATGTAGGCTTTTTAATGGAGATGGTAATACTTGCTTTGTAATGCCAGTGATTAACTGAGGTAACAGAGGGCAAGAATTCTTACCAGCATTGTTTTGTATATGATATACTGTGTCTTATCTAACAAAAAATCCCCGCGGATTAACCTGTATGCCTCAGCTTGGTTTCTACTGTCGGGATCTAGGAAGGCTTAATGTTTTTTTCTAGGGCCTCAAGTTACACAGTGCACAACCTTGGTGGTCATATACAGCCACAGATCCTTCTTTCTGTGTATAGCCAGTCCTTCGTTGGTGGAGGTGTGCATTGTTGCTTCACTATGTTATAATTAGGCTAAAATTAATATTGTAGGGTTTAAACCTTCATCTCTCTTTAGAATTAAATCTTTAGGTCAGGGTCTGAGAGAGCAGAGATACTTCATCTAAAGTTGTAACTATTAATAGTTTTAAGGCTCGTGACTCATATTATCAAATGAATTTGATTTTATTCTCCTAACGGAAATGAAGACTGTCCCTATTCTTCATGTTTGGGTATTTGGTTTTTTCAAAAATAATCACTAATTTAATAGGTGAAAATTGTTACCCTTTTAAAAATTTTGTGTTTCTTTGAACATTAGTAAGTTTAATGATATGTCCATAATTTTGTTAACTAATTGAATGTCATTAATTGCCCACCTATCTTAGAGTGTTTCTTATTGATTTGTAGATATTTTAAAGTAGCAACAACTGTCCAAATTGCTTCAATTCCTAAATTATATATTACTTATTGTAACTTTGTATTATGTCTTAATGTTGAGTAAGAATAAGCCTATCATTTACTTTCTACTTTCCTCTAAAAAGTTAATTAACTATTTCTGTATATACTACATATACTTTGAGATGAGTTTGCTCAATTTAAACTGGCCATTTAAATTTGGATCAGACTTAGATTGCTATTATGTTAAATTATAAATTACTTGGAGAAAAATTGTGTTATTATACTCAGTCTATCTAGGAAGATAGTAAGCTTTTCCATTTGTTTGTTCTGTATCATATCTAGTAAAACCATTTCTTTTTCCACATGGATATGGTACATTTCTCATTACAGATATTGCCAGTGAGTGTAGTTTGAGATCTGTTTCAATTTTATTTTCTCTTTGCCTATGGTTAATAATTACTAAATATATATCTTTTTATATTCATTGTTATATTTTTTCTAGACTTGTGTCAACTTACTTATCTTCTCCATCTTTGTAATGTTAATGTACTTTGTTTCATTTTATTTTTATTAAATTATCTAGTTCTTCCAAAATAATTCTACATAATTGTTTATATGTTTTAGACTTGAATTATTGAGAATTTATCCAGCATGTTATCGTTAAGTAGAGTCTATTAGAGAGAATTATTCTACATCAGTGCTATAGAAGAATCCTTCCAGTCTTGGTTTCTAAAGTATTGAATTTTATCTCATTTCTTTTAATTAAATTATAGTGTTGAATTTCACCAATATATTCTATGATTAAGATTAAGTTGATCCTGGGACTTCTTTGATATTTTTATGTGATACAGTAATAGACTTCTTAATAGTAAAATATCCTTGCATTCCTTAGATTTATCCTATAGGGAATCTTTTCCACTTAATTAGACAGTAGTTTTTCTTGATATTATGATATGAGCTTTCATATTTATTTTGAAGAAACTTTATATCATTTATTAAATTTATTTGTATGAGATTATTCTTCCTATTTTAAACTTTCTGAAGTTAATAAGAAATTTAAATATAGCAATGAATTGCATGTAGTGTAAAGGAATACTCTTCCTTGGCCAATTTTTGCTCTTGCTATATATACCTAAAACATTTTTTAGAACTTTAAATCACAAAATTTTTTAAGTCTAGTCAGAGGCAGTTGTTTAAACATTTACCATAAGCTCAATAATCAATTCTTTCTATTCTTCTAAAAAGCTCAACTGGGAACAGTATCTTCCTGAGAGTTCCCTTTTGCTTTTCTAATCTACGTTAGTGTAATGTGTATTGTCTAAAGCATCCAATAATTTATAAATCTCTACCATATACTCTTTTGTTATATATTCTTTAAGTTCTAGGGTACATGTGCACAACGTGCAGGTTTGTTATATATGTATACATGTGCCATGTTGGTGTTCTGCACCCATTAACTCGTCATTTACATTAGGTATATCTCCTAAAGCTATCCCTCCCCCCTCCCCCCTCCCTACAACAGGCCCCAGAGTGTAATGTTCCCCTTCCTGTGTCTATGTGTTCTCGTTGTTCAATTCCCACCTATGAGTGAGAACATGCAGTGTTTGGTTTTCTGTCCTTGCAATAGTTTGCTGAGAATGATGGTTTCCAGCTTCATCCATGTCCCTACAAAGGACATGAACTCATCCTTTTTTATGGCTGCATAGTATTCCATGGTATATATGTGCCACATTTTCCTAATCGAGTCTATCATTGATGGATATTTGGGTTGGTTCCAAGTCTTTGCTATTGTGAATAGTGTCGCTATAAACATACGTGTGCATGTGTCCTTACAGCAGCATGATTTATAATCCTTTCAGTATATAACCAGTAATGGGATGGCTGGGTCAAATGGTATTTCTAGTTCTAGATCGTTGAGGAATTGCCACACTGTCTTCCACAATGGTTGAACTAGTTTACAGTCCCACCAACAGTGTAAAAGTGTTCCTATTTCTCCACATCCTCTCCAGCACCTGTTGTTTCTTGACTTTTTAATGATCTCCA
Source organism: Homo sapiens (assembly GCF_000001405.40). NCBI lineage: Eukaryota > Metazoa > Chordata > Mammalia > Primates > Hominidae > Homo > Homo sapiens. The sequence continues at coordinate 121,103,056 of NC_000006.12, read as the reverse complement.
TTCTAACTGGCATGAGATGGTATCTCATTGTGGTTTTGATTTGCATTTCTCTGATGGCCAGTGATGATGAGCAGTTTTTCATGTGTCTGTTGGCTGCATAAATGTCTTCTTTTGAGAAGTGTCTGTTCATATCCTTCTTTTTGATGGGGTTATTTGTTCTTTTCTTGTAAGTTTGTTTGAGTTCTTTGTAGATTCTGGATATTAGCCCTTTGTCAGATGAGTAGATTGCAAAAATTTTCTCTCATTCTGTAGGTTGCCTGTTCACTCTGATGGTAGTTTCTTTTGCTGTGCAGAAGCTCTTTAGTTTAATTAGATCCCATTTGTCAATTTTGGCTTTTGTTGCCATTGCTTTTGGTGTCTTAGTCATGAAGTCCTTGCCCATGCCTATGTCCTGAATGGTATTGCCTAGGTTTTCTTCCAGGGTTTTTATGGTTTTAGGTCTAACATTTAAGTCTTTAATCCATCTTGAATTAATTTTTGTATAAGATGTAAGGAAGGGATGCAGTTTCAGCTTTCTACATATGGCTAGCCAGTTTTCCCAGCACCATTTATTAAATAGGGAATTGTTTCCCCATTTCTTGTTTTTGTCAGGTTTGTCAAAGATCAGATGGTTGTAGATGTGTGGTATTATTTCTGAGGGCTGTGTTCTGTTCCATTGGTCTGTGTCTCTGTTTTGGTACCAGTACCATGCTGTTTTGGTTACTGTAGCCTTGTAGTATAGTTTGAAGTCAGGTAGCATGATGCCTCCAGCTTTGTTCTTTTGGCTTAGGATTGTCTTGGCAATGTGGGATCTTTTCTGGTTCCACATGAACTTTAAAGTAGTTTTATCCAATTCTGTGAAGAAAGTCATTGGTAGCTAGATGGGGATGGCACTGAATCTATCAGTTACCTCGGGCAGTATGGCCATTTTCACGGTGTTGATTCTTCCTATCCATGAGCATGGAATGTTCTTTCATTTGTTTGTATTCTCTTTTATTTCGTTGAGTAGTGGTTTGTAGTTCTCCTTGACGAGGTCCTTCACATCTCTTGTAAGTTGGATTCCTAGGTATTTTATTCTCTTTGAAGCAATTGTGAATGGGAGTTCACTCAGGATTTGGCTCTCTGTTTGTCTGTTATCGGTGTATAAGAATGCTTGTGATTTTTGTACAATGATTTTGTATCCTGAGACTTTGCTGAAGTTGCTTTTCAGCTTAAGGAGATTTTGGGCTGAGACAATGGGGTTTTCTAAATATACAATCATGTCATCTGCAAACAGGGACAATTTGACTTCCTCTTTTCCTAATTGAATACCCTTTATTTCTTTCTCTTGCCTGAATGCCCTGGCCAGAACTTCCAACACTATGTTGAATAGGAGTGGTGAGAGAGGGCATCCCTGTCTTGTGCCAGTTTTCAAAGGGAATGCTTCCAGTTTTTGCCCATTCAGTGTGATACTGGCTGTGAGTTTTCCATAAATAGCTCTTATTATTTTGAGATACGTCCCATCAATACCTAATTTATTGAGAGTTTTTAGCATGAAGGGCTGTTGAATTTTGTCAAAGGCCTTTTCTGCATCTATTGAGGTAACCATGTGGTTTTTGTCTTTGGTTCAGTTTATGTGATGGATTACATTTATTGATTTTCATATGTTGAACCAGCTTCGCATCCCATGGATGAAGCCCACTTGATCTTGGTGGATCAACTTTTTGATTTGCTACTGGATTTGGTTTGCCAGTATTTTATTGAGGATTTTTGCATCCATGTTCATCAGGGATATTGGTCTAAAATTCTCTCTTTTTGTTGTGTCTCTGACCGGCTTTGATATCAGGATGATGCTGGCCTCATAAAATGAGTTCGGGAGGATTCCCTCTTTTTCTATTAATTGGAATAGTTTCAGAAGGAATGGTACCAGCTCCTCCTTGTACCTCTGGTAGAATTCGGCTGTGAATCCATCTGGTCCTGGACTTTTTTTGGTTGGTAAGCTATTAATTATTGCCTCAATTTCAGAGCCCGTTATTGGTCGATTCAGGAATTCAACTTCTTCCTGGTTTAGTCTTGGGAGGGTGTATGTGTCCAGGAATTTATCCATTTCTTCTAGATTTTCTAGTTTATTTGTATAGAGTTGTTTATAGTATTCTCTGATGGTAGTTTGTATTTCTGTGGGATCGGTGTTGATATCCCCTTTATCATTTTTTATTGCGTCTATTTGATGCTTCTCTCTTTCCTTCTTTATTAGTCTGGCTAGCAGTCTATCAATCTTGTTGATCTTTTCAAAAAAACAGCTCCTGGATTCATTGATTTTTTGAAGGGTTTTTTGTTTCTCTGTCTCCTTCAGGTCTGCTCTGATCTTCGTTATTTCTTGCCTTCTGCTAGCTTTTGAATGTGTTTGCTCTTGCTTCTCTAGTTCTTTTAATTGTGATGTTAGGGTGTCAATTTTAGATCTTTCCTGCTTTTTCTTGTGGGCATTTAGTGCTATAAATTTCCCTCTACACACTGCTTTAAATGTGTCCCAGAGATTCTGGTATGTTGTGTCTTTGTTCTCATTGGTTTCAAAGAACATCTTTATTTCTGAAAGGGATCAATTCAACAAGAAGAGCTAAGTATCCTAAATATATATGCACCCAATACAGGAGCACTCAGATTCATAAAGCAAGTCCTTAGAGACCTACAAAGAGACTGAGACTCCCACACAATAATAATGGGAGACTTTAACACACCACTGTCAACATTAGACAGATCAATGAGACAGAAAGTTAAAAAGGATATCCAGGAATTGAACTCAGCTCTGCACCAATCGGACCTAATAGACATCTACAGAACTCTCCACCCCATATCAGCAGAATATACATTCTTCTCAGCACCACATCGCACTTATTCCAAAATTGACCACATAGTTGGAAGTAAAGCACTCTTCAGCAAATGTAAAAGAACAGAAATTGTAACAAACTGTCTCTCAGACCACAGTGCAATTAAAGTAGAACTCAGGATTAAGAAACTCACTCAAAACCGCTCAACTACATGGAAACCAAACGATCTGCTCCTGAATGACTACTGGGTACATACCATATACTCTTTAATTTAAAACTTGACTAACAAAGACTATGGGAAAACCTTGCTATACCTCAAGCCCTGCTATATTAATTTAGTGATTAAAAAGAGACTATCCATCTAGTAATTGGATATATCTTTATCAGTTTTATATATTTGTATTAGTTTGAAACTACATACAAATAGCAGATTTATTTAATAACAACCACTTCATTATTTTGAAACAGTAATGCTATTCTTTCTTTTAAGGTAATGTAAAAATGTCCTTTTAATGACTCCCCATGTGAGTTAATCTGTCTTAAGAAATCGTATCATTGCTCTGTTGATATTATTTACCATTTTATTGCTAATTATAAAATATGAAAACAGCTTTTAAGTAACTAAGTGGGTATATGTGATTAAGTAATTATTTGGATACAAATTTCATACCTTATTCATTTTGATCTAATTAGAAGCAGTGCTTTTTGAAGTTGTGTATTTTTAGGCACTGAGGAATTGGTTGATTAGTGAAGGATTTGTAGGCAGATTGCTAAATGAAATACACAGATCTCTAAAGTAAAAATAAGCTCAACTAGAGTACAAAAAATTAAATGTAGCAAGAAATGCATATTTGTTGTATAGTTTCTTTTGGTAATTACTAAGTTTGGAAAGAAAATAGAAATTTGAATATATATTATTTTTAAATGAGCAACAGAAAATCACATATTCTAATTAACTTTATGACCAATTTTATCTTCTGTTAAAAAAAGTCTTACTGTATTTTGTTCATTTTCCTGGCTTAAGAAGTACCATGTATCTTTAATGATTCATCTTTTATAATTCCTTGGAGTCACTATCCTGCACATCTTTGATTATTATATTGTACTATGTCAACAATTAGGCTAACACAGATAATCCCCTGGATATAAAGTATAAAAACCTGCATGGATTTTCTCATTTGCTCTTTTTCCCCCTATTATGAAAGCAGGATTATAGAAAACTGTTTCATTATTTTTTTGTGACACATTGCTTTTTGAAAATGTAAAATTATACAAATGCAAAGCAGGATATGAATGCTGGGCATGGCCCTTGTTCAGAGTCAGATTTATAAAGGCATATGTCTTTATAAATGTGTATGTCTTCACTCTCTTCATGTTTTGGATGTTGCGCCTTGAGATGATACCTTCTCCCTTCCTGTGAGTTATTTTTGCTTGTCAGTACTTATCCTTTAATATATGTCCAAATGGAAATATCCTGGATCATATACAAGTGGATGATTTTGCTCTGTGTTTGTACACTGCTTTGTACACACTTTGTACACTGCTTCTGTACCCCTCTTTTAGTAGAAACACATGTGCATTATTTGTATTCTTTGTCTTGCTCTTTTTAGTTGAAGATCTTTAAAGGTATGGATATATATGTGCCTCACTTCAGGTCCCTTGATTTTCTGACACAGTGTTTTGCCTAGAAGTGCAACAGAAATAGTCTTACGTTTTTCATGTTGCTTCATAGTATAAAGAGTGGTTCTTTTTTCATTTAAAATTTTAACCTTTATTGTGTGACACATGGAGAAATTCACGATCAATGAAGTGAATTGACTTGCGGAGGTCATTCCGATAGTGTAAGGACTTGAAACCACTTTTATTCCAAAGTTAGTTTTCTTCCTTACTTTACTGGTACTTCTTCTATGATGAAAGCAGATGAAGCCAGAGGAGTTGTTAAAAATAGTGTCTTTGAATCAGAAAACTTTATCATTTATAAATCATACCTATTTTGGCTTAATCAAGCATCTGTAGGTAATTGTTTTAACCAAACTTTTTTGACTTAATGTTTTATTATTATTATTATTATTATTATTATTCTACTTTAAGTTCTGGGATACATGTGCAGAACATACAGGTTTGTTACATAGGTATACATATACCATGGTGGTTTGTTGCACCCATCAACCCATCATCTACATTAGGTATTTCTCCTAATGCTCTCCCTCCCCTAGGCCCCCACTCCCCAATAGGCCCCAGTCTGTCATGTTCCCCTCCCCTGTGTCCATGTGTTCTCATTGTTCACCTCCCACTTATGAGTGAGAAGATGCAGTGTTTAGTTTTCTGTTCTTGTGTTAGTTTGCTGAGAATGATGGTTTCCAGCTTCATCCATGTCCCTACAAAGGACATGAACTCATCCTTTTTATGGCTGCATACTATTCCATGGTGTATATGTGCCACATTTTCCTAATCCAGTCTATTATCATTGATGGAAATTTGGGTTGGTTCCAAGTCTTTGCTATTGTGAATAGTGCCGCTATAAACATACGTGTGCATGTGTCTTTATAGCAGCATGATTTATAATCCTTTCAGTATATAACCAGTAATGGGATGGCTGGGTCAAATGGTATTTCTAGTTCTAGATCCTTGAGGAATCTCCACACTGTCTTCCACAATGGTTGAACTAATTTACACTCCCACCAAAAGTGTAAAAGTGTTCCTATTTCTCCACATCCTCTCCAGCATCTGTTGTTTCCTGACTTTTGAATGATTGCCATTCTAACTGGCATGAGATGGTATCTCATTGTGGTTTTGATTTGCATTTCTTTAATGACCAGTGATAATGAACTTTTTTTCATATGTTTGTTGGCTGCATAAATGTCTTCTTTTGAGAAGTGTCTGTTCATATCCTTTGCCCACTTTTTGATGGGGTTGTTTTTTCTTGTAAATTTTTTTGAGTTCTTTGTAGATTCTGGATATTAGCCCTCTGTCAGATGGATAGATTGCAAAAATTTTTTCCCATTCTGTAGGTTGCCTATTCACTTTGATGATATTTTCTTTTTCTGTGCAGAAGCTCTTTAGTTTAATTAGATCCCATTTGTCAATTTCGGCTTTTATTGCCATTGCTTTTGGTGTTTTAGTCATGAAGTCCTTGCCCATGCCTATGTTCTGAATGGTATTGCCTAGGTTTTCTTCTAGGGTTTTTATAATTTGAGGTCTTATGTTTAAGTCTTTAATCAATCTTGAGTTAATTTTTGTATAAAGTATAAGGAAGGGGTCCAGTTTCAGTTTTCTGCATATGGCTAGCCAGTTTTCCCAGCACCATTTATTAAATAGGGAATCCTTTCCCCACTGCTTGTTTTTGTCAGGTTTGTTAAAGAACAGATGGTTGTAGATGTGTGGTGTTATTTCTGAGGCCTCTGTTCTGTTCAATTGGTCTATATATCTGTTTTGGTACCACTACCATGTTGTTTTGGTTACTGTAGCCTTGTAGTATAGTTTGAAGTCAGGTAGCGTGATGCCTCCAGCTTTGTTCTTTTGGCTTAGGATTGTCTTGGCAATGTGGGATCTTTTTTGGTTCCGTATGAACTTTAAAGTAGTTTTTTCCAGTTCTATGAAGAAAGTCATTGGTAGCTTGATGGGAATAGCATTGAATCTATAAATTACTTTGGGCAGTATGGCCATTTTCATGATATTGATTCTTCCTATCCATGAGCATGGAATGTTTTTCCATTTGTTTGTGTCCTCTCTTATTTCCTTGATCAGTGGTTTGTAGTTCTACTTGCAGAGGTCCTTCACATCCCTTGTAAATTGTATTCCTAGGTATTTTATTTTCTTTGTAGCAATTGTGAATGGAAGTTCACTCATGATTTGGCTCTCTGTTTGTCTGTTATTGGTGTATAGGAATGCTTGTGATTTTTGCATGTTGATTTTGTATCCTGAGACTTTGCTGAAGTTGCTTATCAGCTTAAGGAGATTTTGGGCTGAGATGGTGGGGTTTTCTAAATGTACAGTATCACCATTGATCCCACAGAAATACAAAGTACCATCAGAGAATATTATAAACACCTCTACACAAATAAACTAGAAAATCTAGAAGAAATGGATAAATTCCTGGACACATACACCCTCCCAAGACTAAACCAGGAAGAAATTGAATCCCTGAATAGATCAATAATAAGTTCAAAAATTATGGCAGTAATTAATACCCTACCAACCAAAAAAAGTCCAGAACCAGACCAATTCACAGCCGAATTCTACCCAGAGGTACAAAGAGGAGCTGGTGCCATTCCTTCTGAAACTATTCCAAACAATAGAAGAAGAGGGAATCCTCCCTAACTCATTTTATAAGGCCAGCATCATCCTGATACCAAAACCTGGCAGAGACACACACAAAAAAGAAAATTTTAGGCCAATATGCCTGATGAATATCGATGCAAAAATCCTCAATAAAATACTGGCAAAGCAAATCCAGTAGCACATCGAAAAGCTTATCCACCACAATCAAGTCGGCTTCATCCCTGGGATGCAAGACTGGTTCAACATACGCAAATCAATAAATGTAATCCATCACGTAAACAGAACTAATGACAAAAACCACGATTATCTCAATAGGTGCAGTAAAAGCCTTCGACAAAATTCAGCACCCCTTCATGCTAAAAACTCGCAATAAACTAGGTATTGATGGAACGTATCTCAAAATAATAAGAGCTATTTATGACAAACTCACAGCCAATATCATGCTGAATGGGCAGAAACTGGAAGCATTCCCTTTGAATACCAACACAAGACAAGGATGTCCTCTCTCACCACTCCTATTCAACATAGTGTTGGAAGTTCTGGCCAGGGCAATCAGGCAAGAGAAAGAAATAAAGGGTATTCAAATAGGAAAAGAGGAAGATGTAATGTTCTTATGAGAACCTTTGAAGATTGTTTTTTAATTCTAGTTACAAGGAGGAATAATTTACCTCAGATAAAATAATGTGCACCTCAGTGTGGCATCTTAATGTCCTCTGGCATAATGTTAAGTATGGTTCAAGAACAAAATTGCCTAGGAAAGCTGTGGTAGATTTCAATGCATATTGTGCAAGTGATTTTCCTTCCTTACAAACCTAAAAAGCTATTTAAATGTCTTAAAGTGTAATTAGTTCTATATTATTTATGGAATGGTGGTTTACCATAAAACAAAATTCATTTGTTTCACTTTCTTTATAAGCCCATTTCATTACTATTGATAATAGCATTTTTTTCCAGTGAATATAAAGACTCAACTGATCGTTTTTGAAAATGTAATAATGTATTTTTGAGACATATAAATGGTAATTTGTCATTTTCTGGCAGAATTACATGTCTATTTATTGTTTAACACAGCAGACTCATTTGTAGAGCTCTAACCGAGGAATACACTGGGAAAAAAATTTGAAAATACGTATCCACAAATATGTTATTATAGTATTCTTTATAGTATCTAAAGACTAGAAACACTGCAAATGTCCATGAATGGGGCTTGATTGAATAAATTGTGGTTTATCTACAATGGAATATTATGCAGTTGGAGGAAACATCTTTAGTAGGAGAAAGGGATGGAGGAAAGGAGGGGAACCTATAGGAGAAAAGTAACTTAAGACACAAATCAACCAAGCAAAATTTGAAATTGTCTAGTTCATGTACTATTCTATCTTCCTTTATATATGTTTTTAAAAATTCCATAATAATTGTTAAAGAAAAAACTACATCATGTTTGTTTGGACACATACTATTTCTTCTGTCCTATTAGAATTCTAGGTTGTCAGTTGATTTGCAGAACTTTATAAAAATACAGAAGTGGCCAGGTGTGGTGGTTCATGCAGGTAATCCCACCACTTTGGGAGGCTGAGATGGATGGATCACTTGAGGTCAGGAGTTTGAGACCAGCCTGACCAACATGGTGAAACCCTGTCTCTACTAAAAGTACAAAAATTAGCTGGGGTCTTGGCACACACCTGTAATCCCACCTACTCAAGAGGCTGAGGCATGAGAATCATTTGAACTCAGGAGGCAGAGGTTGCAGTGAGCTGAGATTGCACCACTGCACTCCAGCCTGGGTGATGGAGTGAGACTGTCTCAAAAAAAAAAATACAGAAGTTACTTGCTCAGAGATTAAAATTTATGACTCATAGCTCAGCATTCTTCCAGGGATATGGTGTTTTGGAATTCTGCTGTTTCAATGTAAGTCTGAAGTACTTGCAAATATAGTAAAGCCAATATAATTTCTACCAAGCAAAGAGGGTCATATGTTTAAAAAGGATGTCTCCCCTTTAATTGTAAACTTTGTGAAACTGGGATAAATTTCTTTTGTTCACATAAAAAATGATAATATTACCTTGTACATATTAGGTGGTCAAAAAATATTTGTTAAATAATAACATCTATACCTTTGTTATAAAATAACATTTATATAGCACTTTTTCAAAGTACTTTCTGTTACAGTCTCTCAGTTTTCCTCCTCGAAATTTCCCTCCCATGTGATGGAAAAATATAGGTATTATATCCATTTAATGAAGAAAAAGACAATGTACAGGAAACAATGCTTGAATGTATATACATGCCAAAAAATTATAACTGCATTAGAAACTATGTATAATAATGAACTGTTGCAGATTCTAGGGTGACTTTCCTTTAACCAATGCATATGGTGGACAGAAGCTGAGACCCCACACCTTTATCAACTTCCCATTCACTCCTGAAACTAACAATTGAGTGGGAACTGTTTTCTCTAGCTGTGGAGATCGTTTGTATTTATTTTCATTCTCGAATTGTTTCTCCTTCGTTATCCATCCAGAGACTCTAGATTTTCATTAACACAGTATGGCCTTAAGTTGATTGGCATTAATAGCTGTAGCAAAGAACAGAGAGAGAATCTTGGCAGCAGGGCAACAGGCAATTAAGGAATTATTGCTTCTAGTCAAAGTACTACTGACTGCTTCAGTCTGCCTAGTCGAGAGGGAGCAGGAGATACTTCTTCCTCAGTCCACTAGAGCCATATTACAGGGATTTATTGGGGTCTGGGCAATGGAGATTTAGTAACGTACTCTGCATGCCAACCTACCCTCCATGTTGCAATTTGGGAGATGCATCCTATTAATTCCAAGTAAACAGTAAAGTAGGACCAAGGAGAATTTAATATATACTGCCTGTTGACAAATATTGGGTATTCATAGATATATTCTAATTTAATATTGAGTTAAAACTTATGGGCTCTTTGGAAAGATTTTGGAACTTAACAGGAGGGGAACATTATAGTTGTAAAGGAAACTCTTAACACCTGAGAACAGAATTAATAGCCTTATTTAAAGGTTAATAATTGATATGAGTAATAATGTCTGGAAAACAAAAATTCAATAATACCCTCTGGTATAGGCTGAATTGTGTCTGTTCAAAACTCACCTGTTGAAATCCTAACCCCACTACTTCAGAATGTGACTATATTTGAATAGGGCCTTTAAAGAAGTAATTAAGTTAAAATGAGGTCATTAAGTTGGACCGTAATCCAATATCACAAGTGTCTTTATTAAAGCGGAAATTGGGACACAGACATGTACTAAGGGAAGTCCATGTGAAGACACAGGGAAAGACAACCATCTATAAGCCTCAGAGAGGCTTCAGAAGAAACCAGCCCTGCCAATAGCTTGATCTTGGATTTTTCCAGAATAGTGAGAAAATAATTTTTTATTGTTTAAGCCCCCCCTGCCTGTGGTTCTAGCAAACTAATACGTGTTAGTTTGTTCAAGTCAGTTAAAAGCAGGATCAGCATGCCAAAAGGTTGAATCAAGGATATAAAAAACAACTTTTAGAACCTTTTCAAGAATATGTTTTTAGAAAAACAAAATGATAGAAAACAAAAGGAAATTTTGTATATCTGTATCCTCTATACCTATGACAAATTGAGATAAGCCATTAAATCTTTTCCCTTTTCCTCCCCACATCTCCAAAAAAAAAAAAAAAAAAAAAAAAAAAAAACATAAAACTGAAGGAGAAGAGATATTCAATAAGGGGAATCTTTTGTCGAAGGTAAAGTAATTTGTAAATCATAAATGAAAATGAAAATATTGGAAAGTAGTTGTGTTTGTTTCTTATGACTATAGTAACAAAGTACCATGAACTTGGTGGCTAAAAACAACAGAAATTTATTTTCTCACAGTTCTGGAGCCAAAAGGCCATAATCAAAGTGTTAACAAGGCTATGTTCACTCCATAGTTGCTAAGGAAAGAACTGTTACTTACCTCTCTCCTGGTTTCTAGCAGCCTTTAGAATCTTAGCTTGCAGATACATATTGCTTCTTCACATGGTGTTCTCCATTTGTGTCTTTTCATTGTCTTCCTTTTGTCTGCCTGTCTTTGTGACTGTATTTCCCCTTCTTATAAAGACACCAGTCGTATTGGATTAGGGCTCACCGTAATGACCTCATTTTAACCTGATTACGTCTGTAAAGACCCTATTTTCGAATAAAGTTGTATTATGAGGTTCTGGGGGTTAGGGCTTTGACATATCTTTTGAGTGGGGCTCAACTTTACCCATAACATTGATGTATCAAAATGTTTCCAGTATTTATAATCTCTGTGTCATTGCTATTGTTTTTTCTGAAACTTTCCTGTTTTCCACAGTGGGCACGCATTGCTTTTATAATCTGAACAAATGTTATTCAAAAAATAAACAGGAAAAAAAATTCCTTTTGTAAAAGTCTCATTTTTAAAATATTCTCTGCATTAGCTCCCAGATTTTATGTTATGTAATTCCGTTAGGTTTAAATTGTTTTCTGATTCAGGAAGAGTCCATTTGCATTAATGTAACATTTAGCAATCTGTCATCTGCATAATTATACATCTGTGGTTGTAGGTAGTATAGAAAAAAAAAACTCCCATCTCTGAATTAAAATAGTCTCTTAGCATTTGTTATCTGTAGAGAGCAGATTGGTGTTTTGGGTAAGAGGAGCACAATAAGAATAAAAAAGGCATTGAGTAATAGGTATATGAGGAGTGTGACCACTATCAGTTACCCTTAAGGCCTGAATTCCAAGGCCATGAAAGTTTTTTTCACAACTGAAGCAAATAGGAGAAGCATCCTTTTTAGGCATCTATGAAGACTGTCTTTGTATTTTGATTAAGCCCTAAGCTTTTCACTGGTTTTGTATGAGTTATTGGTTAATGTTTTTTAAAAGTCAAATGTGGTTTTATAAATTTTTTAATGAACTTACTACTTTTTTTTTTTAAAGATTTGCCTGCAATGGATAACCCAGTGTTTTTGGAATTACTTAGATTGGATAGAAATCTGCCATTATATTGCTACTTGTGTTTTCCTTGGTCCTGATTATCAAGTGTATATCTGTATAGCTGTATTCAAACATTTACAGCAAGACATTCTACAGCACACTCAGACTCAAGATCTGCAAGTTTTCCTAAAAGTAAGTATGTTTATATGGAGAGGAAAATGTTGAGTTAATAGCTAACTTTGGTTGCTTAATATTAGATACTTTTTCTAGGCACTCATTTAATCCTAAAAACCAATGGTGAGAGGTAGATACTATTATCATCCCCATTTTAGAGATGAGTAAACTGAGGCACAGAGTTAAGTTGCCCCAAACCGTATAGCTAAAGTGGAACTGGAATATGAAATAAGCTGTCTGGATCCAACACTTTGTAACCCACATGCTATGCCAAAAAAGAAATATTGTAAAAATATTCCTATGGGCTATTTGGTCAATAAAAGTTTAATTTATTGGTTTGATACTTTTTAAATATATTTAATATATTAATTTCCTATGCTTTCATATTTTTATATTTTTCTAAACTTCCATTTTTATAAAAGATTTTCATGAAAGATTATTTTATCATAGCACTCATTTTAAAAAGTTATCACCAAATGTGGTGCTATTTTTAAAAAAGATATAGTTACTTTCTCAATTACAATAATGTCATTTTGGAAGTTGGGGACTTTAGAAAGTACATGAGATATAAATACATCCCAGTGTTCATTTTTTGGTGGAAATCTAGCTATTTGTTTACAGTTAAGAATCTTTGAACTTGGCTGGGCACAGTGGCTCACGCCTGTAATCCCAGCACTTTGGGAGGCCGAGACGGGCGGATCACAAGGTCAGGAGATCGAGACCATCCTGGCTAACACGGTGAAACCCCGTCTCTACCAAAAATACAAAAAATTAGCTGGCTGTGTTGGCGGGCGCCTGTAGTCCCAGCTACTCAGGAGGCTGAGGCAGGAGAATGGCGTGAACCCAGGAGGCGGAGCTTGCATGAGCCGAGATCGCACCACTGCACTCCAGCCTGGGGGACAGAGTGAGACTCGTCTCCAAAAAAAAAAAAAAAGAATCTTTGAACTTAAAATGTTTCCTTATCCCTACTACCTTTGCCATCCCACAGGAACACATATACACGTATACACTAAAAACAACATTCATCATTTGCTAGGCTTTCTCTAGGTCAACAAACAGTTTCTATGTAAATTAATTTTATTTTTTACCATTAAATACCTGCCAGGGTTATTTTCCATTTAACGATATTTTTCTTTAAATAAATACCATTGATCATTTAAGATTGCCAAATTATCATTTTTATTTCATCAATTCAGAATTCAAAAGGTTTTAAACTTTCGATATATATCACTAGATTAGAAACAGTCTTAATGAAAAAGTATGCTGAGAAAAATGATTGCACATGTAGAGGAAAAACTAAGATAGAAAAATAAAAGAATGCTCTCTAAGAGGTGATTTGGAATACAGGAAGTGTTAAGCAAATTGAAATTATGTTGAATACAAAATGTAGGTTCATTTTCAGTAAGGGACGTTTTCATCATCTATAGTGGTCAGTTATAGGAATTTCAGAGTCTGAAATTTTCCTGTACTCTTATCTGTCTGTATCCCCCAACCCATAATTCTCTAACATCTTATCCTACTTTAGTTTTTCTCACAGTTTTTATCACCATCCGAAATTATTTTATATGTGTTTTTGTCTGTCTTCTCTGGTAAAATGTGTAAGCTCTATAAGGACTGTGACTTGGTCTGTTTCATTTACTGATGTATTTTCAACAATATATCAAACAATACCTGGTAGATAATAGGTATTCAATACATATTTGTTGATTGTGTAAGTAAATAATGTAAATAAATAAATGGGAAAGATGAATAAACTTTGTTTTATTCACATCAAATAACAAACATTACTAAATTCATTAAGTGCCTACCACTTATTTTTCTTCCTATCAAAAGCATCATCTTTAAATTTGATTAATGTTGATTTACAGTTTCATCTCTCTTTTGACTATTTGAGGGAAAAATTATAATAGAGTTTGCAAATATTAACCTCTTTAAATGTTCCCAAACCATTCTCCATTGTGTTTTCAGCATAATGCTGTCAGTTTAAAACTAAAGGATTAAATGGGGAGAGGAGATTATGACCTAAGCCTCTGTTAAATTACTAAAATTTGAATAGCGTTGGTTTAAATCCAAACTAAGAACATGTAGGCAAGGAATTAATTTTAGCGTGTGTCCTAGAACTAACCTTACTTTTTACCCTTGTTGTTTTCATTTATCTGAGAGATTAGGACAAATGTTTTTTTGATAGATACCATAACTTTACTTTTTTTGTTGTTTTATTTTCAGTGGGTAGGTGTCAAAATTCACTGTTCTCTTTTAATGGGCACTCATTTTTCTTGTGAGATAAACTCTGGTATAGTTTATTTAAATATGTATTTACATATCCCTTTAACTACTCCATTTGGCCCTGAAATAGTCTCTTGTCTGTGAAGTATATATGTACAGCATTTTTCACTTATTCATATAATAACCAATAATGAAGTATTGATTAATGAACTGATTTTATTTTGCCTACCCTAGAAACATCCCCTGTCAAAAATACTCACATGATTTAAGAATTCCTCATTCAACTGAAGCTATAGAGATTGAACCTTGGAAATTATGTTTTACACTTTCCTATTCAAAATCTCAGATTTGTACAGAGGGAAAAAAGACTTATCAATAATTCTTTATATAGGCCAGGTGCAGTGGCTCACACGTGTAATCCCCATATCTTGGGAGGTCAAGGCGAGAGGATAGCTTGAACTCAGGGGTTTGAGACCAGCCTGGGCAACATGGCAAAATCCCATCTCTACCAAAAAAAAGTACAAAAATTAGCTAGGTGTGGTGGCACACACCTATAGTCCCAGCTACTGAGGAGGCTGAGGTGGGAGGATCAATTGAGCCCAGGAGGTCGAGGCCGCAGTGGGCCATGATTGTACCAGTGCACTCCAGCCTGGGCTACAGAACAAGACCCTGTCTCAAAAAAAAAAAAAAAAAATTCCCCATGTAACTGCATACCACAGCCATAATAATATTCTTGTATAGATTATTTAATCACATTATCCCCTCGCTCTACATATTTAATAATGATTGCTTCCAAGAAGAATGAAGATAAAGTAAAACAAGATACTTCTACTTTTTGTTGTAAATATTTATGTGGGCTTTATTTTATATTTGAGGAATGAGCTCATACTTCTTTTATCATAAAACTATTTTTAAGAAGAAATTGAATAAGTATATAAAAATAAATAGATCAAGCATCTGACTGTTATAAATGAGTTCAAATAATCGGGCCTAACAGAATTCATTTTCAAAATATTGAAAACCACAAATATGTTATACTTTCAGTTATTATCAGTTGTATTGAGGAAGTGAAGATACACAATTCTTTTCCTGATTTAAATTTCATGTATTGAGATAAAATGACATGATAAAAGCATTGTTTTAGAAATAAAAATCTGTGTGCAATATTCAGTATCAAGAAAATATCAGTCCATTTGTAGTCACTTTGGTTTAGGCTCAAGATTTTAAATGAGGTAATTGAGGATATAGACTTATTGCCTACATTTCTAATAGGTCACTAAAGAGCTCTTCATGATTCCAAATCAATATATTAAAAAGATAAGTTGGAATTTCTTGGATCAGAAGGTGGTGTGAACACTAATAGGCAGAACTGGTTTATGGGGGAAAGAAAAACTTATTTTTCCTCTTCAGATTAGACCACTGAAAGATTAGATGAACGCCTTGGGTATAAGTTGATATCAACAAAACATTGTCTGATTGTTTCACAGTATCCTTTTAGACACAACAAGAATGTGGGCTGGATATTAGAGCAGTTAACTGCATCATTTTCATGCTGTGGTGATTAATGGATTAGTACCGAGCTAGAAGGCAGCCTCTGAAGATATGCTGAAGAAAGAGCTCAGTCCTTGGGCCCGGAATTCTAAACATTTTTATCTGTGACAGATGATGGTTCAGAAAGTCTGTAGATATTTCCAAGGGGAAAAACATCCAACAAAGTAAATATTCTGTAATATCCCAGCAACTGGGATATTCTTTCAACTCATCTGTAGCGCGCATACACACACACAAACAGGTTTAGTGACAGTTTAATAGTAGTTCATATGTGGATGTCCTAGTGTTTTAGTGAGCTGTGTTGTATTCTTCTCTAACATGCTAATAGGCTGTCAGCAATCTTGGCTTTAGTTTGTGAATTCAACCTGGGGACAAACTTCACTGACATACCAGCCTAGAAAAAGATTGCCTTTCTGTGAAAATCAGGTTGTGAAGCCTTAAAATACTTAATTAAAATGCATCAACTAAATCTTGCATATTGTAACAAAATCAATTTATAATTATGAAAAAATCAGATTAATTTCAACTCAATCAGTAAATTGTCAAGAGGGATTTTTTGTTGGTGCTATTGCAGCTGCTATTACCAGAGAATGTTGACAGGGTGAGAAATGAAGATCGGACTGAGAAAATCTGATTGAATACTAAGCTTTTATAAGATAAAAGTATACATAATATTTAAAACAGTTCACCATCTGAGCAAATATTTTAAAGGTATTCAGTACACTGTCAGCTGTGTTTTGCAGATACGTTTTCTGCATTGTCCTTATATTACTTGATTCTATCTGGTTTCAAATTCTAACTTTGCCACTCACTGTGTGAGCTCGAGTACATTGCTTAGACTTTTATGCTTGTTTCTTCATCACATAGGGTTGTTGAAGAATTAAATGAGATGATATTTGTAAAATACTTTTAGACCATTATCTGGAACATAGTAAGTACTTAAAAAAACTTAGCGGTTATTAAGTTGCTACATCCCTCTACTAGATTCTTCTTATTTCTTTGTTAACAGAAGAAGATATGTAGAGAATACAAGCAAAGGAAACAGAATTTTCTGAGTGCATACCTACACTTTGGTGTACTTTTGCTCCCATTTTTCTCCAGCTCCTGAGACTTCTTAAGATATCATGTAATAGTAATACCTGTCAATGACATTACCTTCACACCTTGGTCAGAAATACCCTCTTATACTGTTTCTGATCAGGACCTATTCCCTCATTAACCTAGCCAAGACTAAGTCAAGTCTCTGGTACAATCACATATTTCCAAGTACCCTTCAGCTGAGTTTAAATCTTCAAGAACCACATACTATGTCCTGAATCTGTAAGAACTTCACATTCTATCCAGAATTACAAACACTATATAAACTCTCTGGTCCTAAGAATCACTTAGGGTACTTATGAAAATTAATGTATTTAGATTCCTTCCCAGACCTGTTAAATCAGAATTTATTTGGCAGAAGCATGAGTTGTCAGATTGTAGTAGAAAATCTTAAGTAGCTTGAAAACCTTTAAAATACATAAAACTGTGACCTTTGGAGTTGGTTGGTAAATCAGAATCCAGAATGCCAATGCCAATGCCAAGGATTCGAAAATTTAAGGGACTGCATCCAGGAGTTTCTAGTTTTACTGAACACCCCAGAAGGAACATAGTGGAAGAAACATTGCTTACCGGTTGTTATGTTTCTATCACTTTGATCAAGAAGAATATATATATATATATACACATATATATATGTATATATATGTATGTATATATATGTATGTATATATATATGTGTATATATGTATATATATGTATGTATATATGTATATATATACGTATATATGTATATATGTGTATATATATACGTATGTATATGTGTATATATATATGTGTATATATATGTGTATATATATGTAAGACACAACACACAAAAAGATTATCTCTAGTAAGGGTAAAGAGCAGAACTATATTCATAAATCCTCCTTCTCTCAAGAGCTTTCTATATGAGATTTGACATTAATGCAAGTCTTTAACTTTTGTTAAGTATATGTTAAGTTCTGTACCTTTTGTGGTAATTTTTTATTCTATATGTCTCATAGTGTTATTAATAAAAGTCAACTCTTCCAGTTTAACCCACTCAAAGTAACTTACCTTACCCTTTTTTCTCTGTAATTTATAAAGAGCTATATTATATTTTAAAAATCATCATTTTGCAAGGGCATTAATAATTAAATATTTGGGAAAGAATATATCAGAGAATATCTAAACTTGGTCCTGAATTCATAAACCAGGGTATACCATGTTAGCACACTTGATCTTTTTGTGCTTTTTATCTGTTTACTACTGCAAAAGGCCTTATCTTCAATTCAGATTTTAAGCTCACATGGCTTGCAGGAGTTCTAAACAAATTTCTGCTAAAAATTAGTATCTTCAGTATTTTTGCAAACATCAACTGATACAAATAACTTTTCAAGGTATTGGTATAGCTTTCTTTTCAAAATAGACACATTTTTGAAGTTGCAAGAAAAGCCAGTAACATCCTAATATTTTAGATAAATGGCTCCCTTATATTCCTGGCAAGGGGTTGAGGAGCAGAGACTGGAGTCAGTAATCCATGATAGGCCAACCCATGCCTAACATCATATGTCTGTAGTGTGATCAAGAAAATGTAGGCAAGCCATTTCAAAGACCATCATTAATAAAAATGTGTTCTCATTATTTATGACCACTATGAATATCTTGAGTGCTTATTGTATGCCACACACTGGGCAAAGAGCTTTACAGGTATTGCTCATTCACTCATGGACTTATTAACCTATTTATTGTGGAACAACCGTGAACCAACTACTCTGCCCACATTGACCTTAAATTCTCCTGGAAGGCAAATAAATGAACAAATACATAATATCTTAAGTATTGTAGACCTTATTCTATTTCTAATAAGGAAATCAAACATGGAGGAGTCTAAGGTGCCAGTTAGATAAAGAGGCCAGGCAAGACCACCCTTGATGGGGTAAACAGCTACCTGAATGAAGCAAAAGAAAAAGTCATACAAAGAATTCCTAGGCAAAAGCCTCCTTAAATAGGAATGAAGGCAAGTGCAAGATCTCAGAGGTCGGAATGAGCTGGCTCACTTAGAGAGTGTCAAGAAGACCACTGTGACCAGAACAAGGTGAAGGAATGAGAAAGGTAAGAGATGAGACAGGGACCAAATCATATAAGATACCCTAATCTATGGTAAGAAGTTCAGATTTCAGAATATTTAATCCAGAGAGCAATCATATGATATTATTGTCTACATTTAACACATGAAAAATTGAGGCTTAGAGTCAATAAACTTACCCAAGTTCATACATCTAGTAACTAACATAGGAGAATTCAAACCCTTTCATTTGGTCTGAATCCAAATCCCGTGTTCCTTTTACTATATCAAGTTGTTTTTCATTGACTAGTCTGATATTTTAATCAATGTCCTAGATTCAGTGGTCCCAAATCAAATGCTCTCAATAGTTAAAAGAAAACAGATGAATGCATATTTGAAATTTGAAACTGGACTTCTGTACACAAAGCAAAGAGGGAAACTACGTATATACCATATTATATAATATTGAATACATCCAACATTGTGGTTTAGAATGGGAATTTTTAATACTTTTGGATGATTCAACATTTGAAACTCAGAATTAATGAAGGCAGCAAATTATTAAAAACATACCAGTTGATTAGCATTAGATACAACAAACGAAATGCAATAAGCTCAAAATGAACTTCCTAACTAAAACTTAAATCATTCTAGTAGTAATCTATTAAAAAAATTTCTTGAGCAAATACTATACGGTTAATATAAAGTGGAATAGTGTTATTACCTTATGTAATTAATGCATCTGCTACTTAAATAATCAAGGCATTTATATTTTATATAGAGTTTGATATACTTTGGTCTATAGATGAAATTATAATGAAGCACTAGTCTGAGGAATTAGTCTGTTACAACTTGAACGATAAGCTGGCAGTCTAAATAGTCATAATTACAAGTAAAAGTTATCCACTAAAAAGGCCATTAGAGAACATTTAGGATAAGATGAAAAAATGTTCTACTTTGAAGACAAAATGTAAAATGTAGATATTTTGGAATTTTATTCAGAGCTAAAATTGCCTACAGATTTTCAATAATGAACTATATCATTTGAAAACACTCCTTTTTAAATGTGTATTAAAATTTTTCTCTTATGAAATAAGACGTTAATAGCCTTATGTGTCATTTTTATGGGTATCTCTTTGGTGTAGTTATCAGGGCATTTACAATTAATGTTTAAAATGGAAACCATGATTTCAAAAAATACATTCTGAGGAAAAAATATATTTAAATTGAGTTATAACTGTGGCTGTCCCTAGGTGGTTTTTATTAAAGTGAAACAATAATTAAAAGATGTTAAATAGATATTGCTTATTTTTTGCCCAGAAATGAATTATTAGAGCTTTGTTCAAGTGCTGTCATCTCCTATTATAATTCGTATTTAATGAACAATAAGTATTCCTTTGAAAATAATATGTCCTGAAACAGTTCTTCTGCCATTGGATCTTTAGTCTCTGGTTAGAATAAGACATTACCATAATCCCTCCCCATCTTAGGTATAGTTTTAGTGAAGAGGTAGTTAAAGCCACGTCACACATAATTTGAATGAAATGAATGGATAAATTCATAATTGTTCCACGACTATAACAATAACTGTTTAAAATGAGTTCTTGAACAGTAGGATTGTTCTTACTCTGATCCTATTTTTTCCCCAAAGAAAAAAGTGAAATATTTTTAATGGGACAGGAATTTACAAAGACCAAGTATTTCTGCTATTCATAGGATAAAAATATTCCCTTTGACTCAGTTACTTATACATAAAATCAGAGACATGATATACACCTCAGTTGTCAACATTTTAGGGCAGGGCTCTTCTCACTCATCTTCGTGTCTTCAGTGCTAATCAAGAACCTTACGTATAATAAGAGAATGAATGAGTGAAGAAGTGAAAGAAGGATTGAAATAATTTCACAATTATCTTGAGATTAGAGCTCAGATACTTACATTGGAAGGTATTTGTTCTAGCCTTAATGGTATTAAGTATATAACAACACCATTTCATTTCTTCAGCTGTAATATCAGCCTTGTAGATCAGTCGTTAATTTTTTAGAATGTCCCAACTAACCTTTCCCTCAAACTATGTAGATTTTTGGTAATGATGGCAAAATAAGAATAAAGTTACCCCAAGTTATATGCAAGCTGTGAATGGTTACTAACCATAAGTGATAAGTGATATCTGAAGCCTTTAAAAACATCTGTTCTCATCGAGATTGTGTAATGTTTTCCTAGCTATTTCTATATTGAGGTTTCTTCTGTATAAACTGCCTCTAACACAGTATCTAGTATATGATATGCATTGTCTTTTATTCTTTTGGGTTGCTTTTTTTTCTTCTTCTTATAGTAATTCTTGCCTTTAAACTATAAACTCCTGAAAGGCATGAATTTTCCAAAGTTTTTGTAACCTCTGCAACTCCTAACATTATAAATATTAATTACACTGAATCAAAGATGACTTTTCTTCGCATATTTTGTTTTGCCTTGAGTGTAGGTACTGCGTAGATTGTATTTGGAGGTACTAAAAGGAATGGTCATAAAATTCCCTAAAAGACTCTAAACTGTTAAACGGGTGTTCTTACTGTTTATTCTTGAGTGTCTCGTTTGGAACACTAACCATTAAATTCCAAATTAGTATAGATGTGCATAGTACCAACATTAGTAATTGCAGATTCTTGGAGGTTTTATGGACAGTAGCTTATACAACAGATATTTCTTGCACTATTATAGTATCCTTTGGTAGATAAGTTTTAGGGTCTTTACTAATTACAAATTTGAACAATCATTGTATAACATGATACTATATTTAAAATTAGAAAGATTTCCTTATCTGCTTTTGTTTTTTTGGTAGCTGTAAATCATTTTTGGTTTTGAAAATAGAAAACTTTATTTAAGGGGGACATATAGTTTCTTCCTGTCACATATATGCACAGCTCACTAAATAAAAAGCAATGACACATTTACTGGCAACATAAACAGCCCACCCCATCTATAGCTGAAAATAAATGGTATATCAATTATTTAAAATTCATTAACTTGGAATTGTGTGTCTTACTCAAGTAAATAATTTTCCCTTTGTAATTTTTGGCAGGAAGAAGCACTGCATGGGTTTCGAGTGAGTGATTATTTTGAATACATGGAAATTTTGGAACAAAACTACCGAACAGTGCTGCTGAGAGACATGCGGAACATTAGACTGCAGAGCACATAGATCATGAGACACACGGTTTAAATTTAGGTTTTATTTATTTTTAAACACAGCAGGGGGGCTTGATGTTTTTCTGTGTCTGTAACAACATTTACTTTGTGAATATACATATTGTAAATACTGAGAAGTATAACGATATATTTAAGTAGGTATGAGCTCAATTTGTGAATTCATTTTTGTAAATTTGTTGTTTTGTAAGGTTATTATAGAATCAGATCTAGCTTACTTTTAGTTCTTATTCATGTTTAAGAGTTAGTCCTGGCCAGGCGCGGTGGCTCATGCCTGTAATCCCAGCACTTTGGGAGTCTGAGGTGGGCGGATCACGAGGTCAAGAGATCGAGACCATCCTGGCCAAAATGGTGAAACCTCGTCTCTGCTAACAATACTGAAATTAGCTGGGTGCAGTGATGCGCCTGTAGTCCCTGCTACTTGGGAGGCTGAGGCAGGAGAATCGCTTGAACCCGGGAGGCGGAGGTTGCAGTGAGCCAAGATTGTGCCACTGTACTCCAGCCAGGCCACAGAGTGAGACTCTGTCTCAAAAAAAAAAAAAAAAAAAAAGTCCCAACTTACATCTCCTTTATTCAGATGATTTAAATATTGTTTCCAGTGAATTTGGAAAGGAGAAGTAATAGTGTAAATAATATTTTGACTAGCTGCAGAAAGCCCATAAGACAAGGAAAAGACAGTATTTCTTCCATTCTTTATGTCTGTACATGTAAAGGAAAATGGATAAAACTACAGCTGCTTCTTTTACATGTGGAAGAACAATGATACTATTTACCATGGCAAGTGGTAGGAAAACTGTTGTCCTTGGACATAATTGTTTTTTAGGAGTTGCTTTTGATACCCATATCAATTTATAATTCTTTGTTTGAAATGAAGTCTTTACATGGTTCATTGAAGAGATAGATTGGTTATTTCATACTGATAAGCATTCTACTCTTATTTGTTATGCATTTTCCTTAGTGATATATTTTACTTGTACTGAACTTGAAAATATAAAGGAGAATACATTTCTAAATTATTTTAAATGGCTAACACTATGATTTGTCTTATTTAAATAGATGTCTCTGCACCGGTAAGATTAATACAATATGTGAATGTCTATTTTTTATATCTTAACTCACAATGAGTATATGAAAGATAATACACGAATATATTACATTATTCATTTTTAGTCATGAGTTTATTTCAATAAGTTTTTCTAATTGTAGATACTGTTTTTTATTCTTTCCTTGTATCTAAATATAAATCAACCATTAAAATCATTCTAACTCTAACCCTGCTTTTTTTTTCGTTTTCAACTAAAAGTGGATCATTGACAAACTAAGTTTTTCATGTAGCATGATCAAATAACTGGTACTATACAGTTTTCAATTTAGTAATATTTAGGCTATTGCAATATCAGCCTTCCAAAATCAAGTTTTATGCTGTAAATGCCAACAATAGCTTCTCAGTAATAGTGTTCCTAAAGGGCATTGTAAAGTTGAGAAAAGTAATTTTAGCAAGTTAATTTGACATATTGCGCACTTTCACTTCAGCCGCTGTGAGTTAAAAGAGAGTCATAGATGACTCAAAATACTAAGCTTTGTCTACTTTCAAACTTAATTTTGAAAAGCTGTTCCATGGAAGCTGTAATACATGTTTATGGTTCCATTTCTTCGCATTATTTTCCTGAGTTATTGTTATAGGTCCTAAGAATCGTGCAGCTTTATTTCTTTTTATAATTGTGTACACGGTAGTTGGAAATACAAATGGAGAAGAATGAACTGTAATTTAATTTTATGATGTCCATTGGTGATTTTCATTGGAAACTGAGGTAAGATCTAGATTCTAACAATTACATTTTTGAAAAAAAATAACTTCAGCTACAGCTAGAAGGCTTTCATCTTCATTTGACATATAAGTGTCTTATGAACAATGACCTAGCAATTTGTTTGGTGAAAGAAAATGTAAAATATAGTAGGTAGTGTAGCTATCATTATGAGTTATTTCTATACTTACTTTTAGAGTACCCTTTAGAACAATCACACCCTGTCATGCCCCTTGGTTTTATTTTTAATTATTTAAAATGTAAGTCCTTAGACTTTATTTCTAATTTGTGGAGGGGTAACTCATACATTTTATAGGATTCAATTACAATAAAATATGTTATGATATAATGTAAAAAGGTTTATGAAAAAATTCATATATAAAAATATTGGAATATCTGCTTTCAAAATTTCATATTTTTAGTTCTATCTCCTCATAATACTCTCCTAAAGTATCACTGGAGGTAAAATAAGCCTCAGAAATTTATCTGAACTTTCACACAAGGTTCTACATGAATTTGTGATTAGTAAATAATGATGTGCTCTCATTGGAATTTCCAATTTTCAGATGTTAAATTTTGTTGTTTGTTCATTAAGCAGATACATTTTAAGGGTTACACATATAATGAATTTTTTTAAATATTCAAGATAGCACAATAAATGATATACAGCATCTCAAAGAGTTCACAGTCAGCATGGGGAGGTGAATAATTTTAAAACCATGGAAAAATAGTGATAAAGATGACCAATGTGAATTGACCTCCGGATGTGATGACCTTGACCTTGATAAGAGTAGTTTTGATTAAGTAAGTGAGGGCAAAAGTTTTGATTGGATTCGGTTTAAATGACGGTGAGAAGAAAGATTTTAGAAACTGCTCTTTCTAGGAATATTGCTGTAATGGGTGGAATAGGAATGGCAGCTAATGCAGACGGGGACCAAAAGATGCTTTTTGTTTGTTTTTGTGAGTGTGTTTTGTTTTTGAAATGTGAAATGGAAACATGTTTATATTTGGATGGAAATGATGCAGTAGAGAAGGAAAATTGATGGTAGAGAGGAAGAGCTGGAGTAAATGTCATGAATAGATGTAAGGGGAATAGGATTTAGTGAGTAAGTAGTGGAATTAGCCTTTGCTAGGAGCATGGACACTGCATTTAAAGTAACAGAAGGGGAAACAGAATAAATGGGCACAGACATAGAGTAGGCATTTGTGGGTTTTTTTTCTCAGTGATGTAGGAAACAAGGTCATCTACTAAAAATTAGAATAGTAAAAGCTTTGGTAGTTTTTAGGAGATAAGAGTATGTGAAATAATTGTCAAAGAGTGAATGGAATAGGAAAATAAGTGTTATTGTGATTTACTGGTCATGAG
The DNA here is from genome assembly GCF_000001405.40 of Homo sapiens. NCBI lineage: Eukaryota > Metazoa > Chordata > Mammalia > Primates > Hominidae > Homo > Homo sapiens. The sequence goes on along the minus strand of NC_000006.12, from coordinate 121,077,594 downwards.
ATGAGTTAGCAAAGTTTTATGTTTTTCTCCAGCTACCTTACACTGTGCATGGGTTGGCAAGGAGTAAGTGGTGAGTTGGGTTTAACCAGAGTTTTGCTTAAGCCAAGAGAATACAGTAAGCAAGGAAGGGCACAAGGGAGTTGATGTTATATGCAAGTTAATTTTTATAATATTGTGACCGTGGTGTTTAAGCTGGATCAAAAGGAAGGTGGAGACAAGAGGGTGGATATGTATGGTACAGTGAAAAGTTGATAGGATCAATTGATTGTAGGTTCTTATGTATTGAAAGATTATTTGATTTGAAATCCTCCAGAGAGGAAGGTGAAATGATTAGACCTAACAATTGTTAAGTAAAATGCTTAAAATTGAGATTTTAGAAGGGGTTGACCATGAGAATGAACAACTAGAGGAAAGAAGAGAGATGAGATTATGTGAATAAAGGAAGTCAAGGAGCTGAGGTTTTGGTTTTGGAAGAATTGTCTTTTTGGATACTGGAGTTACCAAAATTGTGACAAGGAATTATTTTGAATAGCTTGAAAATGAGCCAAAAGCTAAAATCTTCAAGGATTGGTCTAGAAAGAAAAAAATGACAAGAGGACATCTGAGATGCAAAAATAAATGGAAACCAAAGGCAATGGTACATAATCATTATTTTAATATAGTATCTAATTTGTTAATAAAACATACCTAATTTCTTTGAGGCCTTTGATTAGTCTGGCATTTCTTACACATAAAGTATAAGCCACAAAAGAAAAATTGTTACATTTTATGTACTTCTTTAAAATAAAAAAGCACTCAAAATATACTCTCAAATAAATGAAAAAAGCTGTAAGATAATAGATTTGCAGAACATAGCTAGTAAAGAACCTTATATTCAGAATATATGAAATTTCTAACCACTCAACAGTAAGAGAATGAACAAACAACAAAATAGAAAATTTCTGAACAGACACTTCACCAAAGAAAATATACACAATTGACAAGCACACAAAAAGAAACTTATCACCATTAGTTTTAGAGAAATGCAAATTAAATCCACAAGGAGATAACCACTACACACTCACTAAAATGTCTAACACTAAAATACATAAAACAAAACAAAAACCTAATTTCAATGGCTGGCAAGAGGTGGAGCAATTGGAACACATGGTCTCTTATAGGAACAGGAAGTACAATAGCCATTTTGGAAGCTGAGTTTTTCGTTTTTGTTTTTTTGTTGTTGTTATTTTTTGAGTTAAATGCTTAACTCAGTATATGACTCAGCGAGGACTCAGTAATAACCCCTCTAGGTATTTACCCAGAAGAAAATACATTTCCATATGCAGATTTAAATGTGATTAATTACAGCTTTATTCATAATAGCCCTAACTGGAAACCAACCTAAGTTTCTTTCAACTGATCAATAGATAAACAAATTGTGGTTCAGCCATAAAATGGACAACAATTTAGCAATAAATATAGCCAGCTAGCTACCGATGCACACAAAATCGTGGATAAATCTGAAAAGCATTATGGTGAGTGAAATAAGCTGGACACAAAAGAGTACATGCTATATGATGTCATGTATATGAAATTCTAGAAAAGGCAGAAAGAATATTTGTGGTTTCCAGGGGCCAGCAGGTGAGGAAAGAAGATTGACTTCATAGAAGAAAGGACTTGTATATCATAATTGTAGTGATAGCTACATGACTGGATACATTTTTAAAAACATTTTGACATGTATGCTTAAAATGGGTGAATTTTATTATATGTAAATTCCACATCAATAAAGCTTTATCAAAAAAGGATAAATACTACAAATAAAAACTGACAGTTTATCCTAATGAGTTTAACATAGCAATATGTTAGCTGTAGGTTTCCCAGGGATGCCATAACCAGGTAGAGGAAGATCCCTTCTATTCCTACCTTGGTGTGAGTTTGTTTTTTTTTTTTAAATCAAGAATACATTTTTTATTTGGAAGTGATTTATCAAATACTTTATATAAAAATGATCCTTTTTTTCTTTTTTTCTGTCTATATATTGACATGCTGATTTTTGAATGCTCAACCATTCTTGCTTTCCTAAGATTAACTCTACCTGGTCATGATTTTATCATTTTTACGTATTGTCAGATTTGATTTGGTAAAATTTTGCTAAGTATTTTTATATCTATGTTTATGAAGGATTTTTTTAAAAGTTTAAAAAATCTTTTAAACAACTGTACAAGTGCAGGTTTGTTACATAGGCAAACTTGTGTCATCGGAGCTTGTACAGATTATTTCATCATCCAGGTATTAAGCCTGGTACCCATTAGTTATTTTTGCTAATCCCCTCCCTCCTCCTACACTCCCACCGTCCAAAAGGCCCCAGTGTGTGTTATTCCTCTCTGTGTCCATGTGTTCTCATCATGAAATATATTTATCCGTAGTTTTCTTTTTTTGGTTTTGGTAGCAGGGTAATGCTGGCTTTATAAAATCAGTTTTGAAGTGCTCTTTCATCTATTTTGTGGAAGAGTTTGTGTATAAAATGGTATGTTTTTCTAAATGTGTGATGGAATTCCCCAGTGAAACCTTTGTGATAAGCAAAACTAAAAATTCAATTTATATCATAGCTATCTATCTATTCAAATGATTTCTTCTTAAGAGAGTTTTGGTAGTTTCATTTAAGGGATTTCTCCATTTCTTCTAAATTGTCAAATTATTGACATCAAGTTATTCATGATGGTTCCTTATCCTTTTTAATATCTATAATTTGTGTTGATGTCACTGCTCACATTCTTGATATTTGTAACTTGTATGTTCTTTTTTTCTTGATCAGTTTAGCTAGAAGTTTATGAATTTTATTAAATTTTTTTTTTTTTTTTGAGATGGAGTCTTGCTCTGTCACCCAGGCTAGAGGGCAGTGGCGCGATCTTGGCTCATTGCAAGCTTGGCGTCCCAGATTCATGCCATTCTCCTGCCTCAGCCTCCCGAGTAGCTGGGACTACAGGTTCCCGCCACCACGCCCGGCTAATTTTTCTTGTATTTTTAGTACAGATGGGGTTTCACCGTGTTAGCCAGGATGATCTCGATCTCCTGACCTCGTGATCCACCTCCCAGAGTGCTGGGATTACATATTAATGTTTTCAAAGAACCAACTTTTAGTTGCATCCATTTTATCTTGTATTTTGATCTCTGTTTTATTGATTTTCATTCTGATCTTTATTATTTCCTTTATTCTACTTTCAGTTTCATTTACTCTTTTTCTAGTTTCTTAAGGTTATTCATTTGAGAACCTTCTTTTTTCCTAGTACAGGTGTTTAGTACTAAAATTTCTCTGTAACTACTGCTTTAGTTACATCTACAAATTTTAATGTTATTTTTTCATTTAGTTAGAAACACTTTCTAATTTACCTTTGTTATTTTCTCTGAACCATGGGTTATTTAGAAATCTGTGATTTAGTTTCCAAATAATTTGGAATTTTCCAGGTAAGCTTCTGTTATTTATTTCTAGTATGATATCATTGTGGTTGGAACATTTTTTTATATTATTTTAATCCTTTTAGATTTGTTTAAACTTGTTTTATGTTTTATGTTTCAGAATATTATCTATCTTGGTAAAGTTTCATGTGCACTTAACCTGATTGTATAGTATATTTTTCATTAGGTGTTTCATAAATCTCAATTAGATTAAATTGGTTTATATTATTGTTTAAGTTGTATCTTTCCTGATATTTCTGGCTACTTGTTTTATCAATTATCATGAGAGTAATATTGAAATTAAATTTGTGGATTTTTCTGTTTCTCCTTTCAGTTCTATCAGCTTTTGCTTCTTGTATTTGAAGCTCAATAATTAGGCATATAACCTTTTATGATTGTGACAGCTTCTTGATAAATTGACTGTTTTATCCTTAGAAAATGATTGCCTTTGTTCCTAGTGATATTCTTTGCTCTGAAGTCTACTTCATTTGATATTAGTATAACCACTCCAAGTTTTTGGTTTTGTTGCTGGGGTTTTTTATTGTTGTTTGTTTTTGTCTTTTTTGTTGTTGTTACTAGGATTTGCATAGTCTTTTTTCATTGATTTACAAAATATTCTTTTAATCTCTACGTATCTTTATATTTAAAGTGGCTTTATTGTAGGCAGTATAGAATTGGGTCTAACTATCCCATCCTTTTCCAATCTGGCATATCATGCCTTTTAATTGGAGTGTTTAGACCATTTACATTTCACATAATTATTGATGTGTTGGAATTTACATTTACATTTTTCTTTCCATTTGTATTATATTTTTCCTATTTTTGTTCTTTTTAGTTATCACAGTCAAATAATGTCACTCCACTTCAAGTTTAGTAAAGGAACTGTACAACTATGAAATTCCAGATCGTTGCTGGTACTCTAATCCATAGGATTCTCTTCTTCCTCTTAAGTTATATAAGGTTTCTTAACCCTCAACTGGTAAATATAATATAGTCATATATAGTATTCTTATTTTTAATTCCTTTTTAGCTATTATTGTGATTTAATCCCAGCATTATTATTCAACATATGTATCATTAGTAAACATTTTTTCTTTGGGAATGTTATATATCAAAATTAAGTATAAGCAGCTTAAGGAAAGAGACAAAATCATTTAATTCATATTCCCCAGAAATTCTGTTCTAGTGCTAGACATAAAGCAGAATATCAGACTGTTTACTGAATGAAATGTCTAAGTTGTTTTGAATTATCATATAGATACAGCTATAACAGAGATTGAAACATTAGACAAGATTTTCCCCTCAGCTCCCTTAAGGAGGAGATTATCTATGTTCTTGGTACAAATATGTTTTCTGCAGATTATATTTTTATTAAAGATAATAAAAGTTTACTACATTTTATTTAGCAAATGTAACTAAAATATGTATGTGTAAGATTTTCTTTCTGTGGAAATGTATGTGTATGAGTGTGTGTATATTATTGCACATGAGTAGTATTTTTACCATAACATGCATCTGATAGAGTTGAGTGAACTATCCTGATAGCCTAATCATGATTTGGTTACCAGACTATAGCTTTTTGAAATACAGCAATGAGTGCAAATGTGCACCTGTCTTGAACTTATAAAAACTGACAGGGATTAATTTGGTGTTTGAATCTATATAGTCTTTCTTCCTAGAAACCAAGAGTCAGTCAGACATCATATGTCCCAAATAATGTAGTTGTGAAGGCAGAAAACATGAAAGTCTGATGTGTCAAGATCTCTTCTATCACAATGATGTTGAATATTCCTAAATTTGTTCTTGCTAAAGCTAGCCGAATCATTCCATTATTACATATGATAGTTTGCACATGGGTTGACAAACTACAGCCTGCTAGTCAAATCCAGCCCACTGCCTGTTTTTGTAAATAAAGGTTTTATTTGGAACCTAATGTCAATTTGCTTTCCATGGCTGCTTTCATACTACAGTGGCAGAGTTTTGAGAGAGACCGCTTGATTTGTAAAGCCTAAAATACTTATTATCTGGCCATTTACAGGAAGTTTGCCAACATCTACTTTAGAATCCTAATTACATATATAAATCCAAATCCACTTTAGGAAGAATCAACTTTTTAGAGGTACAAGGGAAGAGGTGACCCAAGGTCATGCAGAGGGGAAATATGCAGTAGGTAGATAGAGAGCCTGGGGGACAAGGCTATCTGGATTTGTATCCCATCTCTGCCATCAGCAAGTTATTTCCTCTGTGCCTCGATTTACTTGTTGGTAAAATGAGCATAAGAGTATACCTGCCTCATAGGCTTATGACGAATGCCTGTGTTTATGACAACTTCTTTAAGTACTCTATCAATTATAGCTATTATAATTATATAGTATTATAGCTATTATAAATTATATCTATTTTTGATTTTATGAGGAACCTTCAAACTGTTCTATATTGTGGTTGTACTAATTTAATTTCCCGCCATCACAAGAGTACAAGGGTTCCCTTTTCTCCACATCCTCACCAGCCTTTTTATTGCCTGTCTTTTGGATAAAAGCCATTTTAACTGGGGTGAGATGATATCTCTTTGTAGTTTTGATTTGCATTTCTTTGATGATCAATGATGGAGCCCCTTTTCATATACCTGTTGGCCATTTGTATGCCTTCTTTTGAGAAATGTCTATTCAGATATTTTGCCCATTTTTAAATTGGATTGTCACACTTTGTCCTATTGAGTTGTTTGAGCTCCTTTCGTATTCTGCTTATTAATCCCTTGTCAGATGGTTAGTTTGCGAATGTTTTCTCCCATTATGTAGATTGTCTCTTCACTTTGTTATTTATTTCCTTTGTTGTGCAGAAGCTTTTTAATTTGATGTGATCTGATTTGTCCATTTTTCCATTGGTTGCCTGTGCAGCCCACTCCAGTGTCCAATGTTTTATTTTAGTAGTTTCATAGTTAGAGGTCTTTAAGTCTTTAATCTATTTGACTTGGTTTTTGTATATGGTGAGAGATAGGGGTCTAGTTTCATCCTTCTGCACGTGGATATCTGGTTTTCTCAGCACCATTTATGGAAGAGACTGTCTTTTCCCCAATTTATGTTCTTGGCACCTTTGTTGAAAATGAGTTCACTGTAGGTGTGTGGATTTGTTTATGGGTTCTCTATCTGTTCCATTGGTATATGTGTCTTTTTTTTTTTTTTTTGCCAGTACCATGCTGTTTTGGTACTATAGCTCTGTAGTAAAATTTGACGTCAGGTAATTTGATTCCTCCAGTTTCGTTCTTATTGTTCAGGATAGCTTTGGCTATTCTTGGTCTTTTGTGGGTCCATATAAATTTTACAATTGTTTTCTCTATTTCTGTGAAGAATGTCATTGGTATTTTGATAGACATTGCATTTAATCTGTAGATTGCCTTGGGTAATATGGACACTTTAACAATTGTGATTCTTCAAATCCATGCACATGGAATATCTTACCAATTTTTGTGTCTTCTTCAGTTTCTTTCATCAATGTTTTATAGTTTTCATTCCAGAGATTTTTTACTTCTTTGGTTAAGTGTACTCTTAGGTATTTTATTTTATTTTTAACTATTGTAAATGAGATTACTGTCTTGATTTCATTTTCGGATGGTTCTCTGTTGTCATATAGAAATGCTACTGATTTTTGTATGCTGCAACTTTAATTAATTTGTTTATAAGTTCTGATAGTTTTTTGATGAAGTATTTAGGTTTTCACCAGAAGGTGAAGGAGGAGCAAATGCACATCTTACATGGCAGCAAGCAAGAGAGCATGTGTAGGAGAACTCCCATTTATAAAACCATCAGATCTCATGAGACTTATTCACTACTATGATAACAGCATGGGAAAAACCCACCCCCATGATTCAATTACCTCCCACCGGGTGCCTCCCACAATATGTGGGATTATGGGAGCTATAGTTCAGAATGAGATGTGGTGGGGACACAGCCAAACCATTCTACCCCAGCCCCTCCCAAATCTCATGTACTCACATTTCAAAACACAATAATGCCTTCCAAACACAATCATGCCTTCCAAACAGTCTCCCAAAGTCTTAACTCATTCCCAGAGTCTTATTAACCCAAAAGTCCAAGTCCCAAGTCTTATCCAAGACAAGGCAAGTCCCTTCCACCTATGAGCCTGTAAAATTAAAAGCAAATTAATTACTTCCCAGATACAATGGAGATACAGGTATTAGGTAAATACACCCTTTCCAAATGGGAGAAATTGGCCAAAATGAAAGGGCTACAGGCCCCATGTTAAGTCCAAAATCCAGTGGGGCAGTCAAATTTTTTTTTTTTTTTTTTTTGAGATGGAGTCTCACTCTGTCACCCAGGCTGGAGTGCAGTGGTGTGATCACAGCTCATTGCAAGCTCCACCTCCCAGGTTCATGCCATTCTTTTGCCTCAGCCTCCAGAGTAGCTGGGTCTGCAGGTGCCCGCCACCACACCCGGCTAATTTTTTGTATTTGTAGTAGAGACAGGGTTTTACCATGTTAGCCAGGATGGTCTCGATCTCCTGACCTCGTGATCCGCCCGCCTCGGCCTCCCAAAGTGCTGGGATTACAGGCGTGAGCCACCGTGCATGACCAGGGCAGTCAAATCTTAAAGTTCCAAAATGATCTTTGATTCCATGTCTCATATCCAGGCCACCTTGATGTAAGAGGTGGGTTTCATGGCCTTGGACAGCTCCACCCCTCTGGCTTTGCAGGGTACAGCCCCGCTCCTAGCTGCTTTAACAGGCTGGCATTGAATGTCTGTCTGTGGCTTTTCCAGGTACACGGTGCAAGCTGTCAGTGGATCCTACTATTCTGGGGTCTGGAGGGCAGTGGTCCTCTTTGCACAGCTCCACTAGGCAGTGTCCCAGTGGAGACCCTGTGTGGGTGCTCCCACCCCACATTTCCCTCTGCACTGCCCTAGCAGAAGTTGTCCATGAGGGCTTTGCCTCTGCAGCACACCTCTGCCTGGACATCCAGGTGTTTTCATACAGCCTCTGGAATCTAGTCAGAGATTCTCAAACCTCAATTTTTGACTTCTGTACACCCACAGGCTCAACACCACATGGAAGCTGCCAAGGCTTGGGGCTTGCACCCTCTGAAGCCATGGCCTGAAATGTATCTTGACCCCTTTTAGCCATGGTTGGAACAGCTGAGATGCTGGTTACCAAATCCCAAGGCTGCGCACAGCAGGGGGGATCTGAACCCAGCCCTGGAAACCATTTTTCCCTCCTAGGCCTCCAGGCCTGTGATGGGAGGGGCTGCTGTGAAGGTCTCTGGCATGCCCTGGAGACATTTTCCTCATTTTCTTGGTGAATAACATTCTGCTCATTGTTACTTAAGCAAATTTCTGCAGCTGGCTTGAATTTCTCCCCAGAAAATGGGTTTTCCTTTTCTACTGCATCATCAGCCTGCAAATTTTTCAACCTTTTATACTCTGCTTCCTCTTGAATGCTTTGCCACTTAGAAATTTCTTCTGCCAGGTACCCTAGATCATCTCTCTCACATTCAAAGTTCCACAGATCTCTAGAGCAGGAGCAAAATGCTGCCAGTCTCTTTGCTAAAGCACAATAAGAATCACCTTTGCTCCAGTTCCCAAGTTCCTCACCTCCATCTGAAACCACCTCAGCCTAGACTTTTTGGCAAAAACCATTCCACAAGTTTCTAGGAAGCTCCAAACTTTCCCACATCTTCTTGTCTTCTTCTGAGCCCTCCAAGTCTCTAGGAAGTTCCAAACTTTCCTACATTTTCCTGTCTTCTTCTGAGCCCTCCATGTGATTCCAACCTCTGCTGGTTCCCCAATTCCAAAGTCACTTTCACATTTTTGGGTATCTTTTCAGCAGTGCCCCACTCCCAGTCCCAATTTACTGTATTAGTCTATTTTCATACTGCTATGATGAAATACCAGAGACTGCATAAATTATAAAGAAAATGAGGTTTAATGGGCTCACAGTTCCACATGGCTGGGGAGGCATCACAATAATGACAGAAGGTGAAGGAGAAGCAAAGGCATGACAGCAAGCAAGAGAGCATGTGCAGAAGAACTCCTCTTTATAAAGCCATCAGATCTCATGAGACCTATTCACTATTATGAGAACAGCATGGGAAAAACCCACCCCCATGCTTCAATTACCTCCCAAAAGGTCCCTCCCACCATAACTGGGGCTTGTGGGAGCTACAATTTATGATGAGATTTGGGTGGGGACACAGCCAAATCATATCAAGCATCAGTTGAAATGAAAGGCTATTTTTTTTCTCTAGATTTATTGATGTTGACCAAGTCAATGTATAATGGATTAGCAATGTATTTTTGAGTGGTTTTCTATTCTCCAGTGATAAGTAAAACAAATGTTTGATTTTATATGACATAAAATTTTACTAACATGTTCTTTGTGGAAAAATTGGCTTATGTACTTTTTTGCATAATATAAAGGGAAAAAGTTATTACTTAAGTAGGTGACAATGTATTTACTTATCTGGTGAGTTTAAACAGGGTCAAGGGAATTAGCCTTACAGAAACCCTGAATTTTCAATGTGAGCAATATTTTAGCCTTTAAAATCAGTTAACTTCTTTGGCATGTTTCCCACCCTATATTCTACTATTGGCAATAGTCACCATGAAGTGCTAAGTGCCATGGAAATACTTGGACTGTCATGTTTGCTAATAGAGTGCATTTGAGATACATTGGGGGACACAGTCATTAAAATGCTGGCTGTTTAAGTTTAATCATCTAGTGCAAGATTTAAGCATTGATGTACTATCAGAATATGTGTTAACTGTTCTTTATTTAATAATACATTTATATTTAGCCCTGTCCTAAAATTCCAAAGTTCATCTTTTTTTATAAAAGCATCTTTAAGTCCTTTTTCTTACAACATCTAACATAATCATCTACAGTTTTAATGGAAATACTCAGATAATGAAAACACTTTTTTGGTCAAATTGTCTTCATCACTGTCTAAATTTTTATTTTAATTTTCCTCAGAGTATTTTTTTTTTTTTTGGTGGGATCTCACTGTCACCGAGGTGCTTACTAACATGATTTTGTTTTTGATGGTATCTCACTCTGTTGCCCAGGCTGGAGTATAGTGGCATGATCACAGCTCACTGCAGCCTTGACTACCCAGGCTCCAGCAATCCTCCTGCCTTAACCTCCTGAGTAGTTGGGATCACAGGCACCTGCCGTAACACCTGACTAATTATTTTTCTATTATTTGTAGAGATGGGATCTTGCTCTGTTGCTCAGGCTGGTCTCGAACTCTTGGGCTCAAAGAATCCTTCCACCTCAGCCTCCCAAAGTGCTGGGATTACAGGCATGAGCCTGTGCACTCAGACATGAAATAATTTTGCGTTGAAAAAATTCTTGATTAAAATAAGTGACGAGTATGGTAAAGACTGACTAATCTTCAACAATCAGTTTCCTTTTTCTAGGCAAAGAATATTGCAGGGTGTCTAATCAGCTTAACCACTGTAAAGTGAGTAGCCCAAAGAATAAAGACCAGGTTGGCTTCTCTATGAGCTCTCTTCTCTGTTTCCTTGGTGCCTTTGGAAACTTAAATCCCTGAATTCGTGAAGAGGAAAGCCTCTACTATGACCTGAAGAAGAAATATAAATCTTACATTAAATGTTTGAAATCATATTATTTCATCTAAGCATTAACACCCTGTCACCATCTTTGAGTTTCCCCATGTTTTCCCGCTTTTCTGAATAGTTTTTGATATGCCTAGCTAGCAGTCATGTTCTTAATTCAGTCTTATTAGATTTCATATGAGAGTTCAAGTGTGCATGAATGAGGCAAAGCTGTCTAGCACAAATTAAATTTAAAAGTTTCATTGATATTTGTGCCCATTAGCAAACAGTTTTGGACATGGTAGATACTATTTGACTAGCAGTTATATATAGTATCAAGGAAGCTTTGTTTCTGTAGGTGAAGGCTGAGACATTTAAAGATTGCCATTAGGGTATCAGTCTCATCAATTAACTCAAATTTGATGACAGTTATGTATTTTGAATATTCTATATGATAAGCTTTAGCCTAGAATTTCTTTCTACATCATTTTTTTTTCATTTTGACACTTAGGTTCTCATTTGTACACTGAAAAATTTTCCAAGCCTTTTGCATACAATGAAAATTAACTTACTTCTTACTGGAAAATTAATGGGAATTTTAGAAAGCACTTTAGTGTGCAAATAGAAGAAACATATTTCAGTTGGGCTAAGGATTGCCAGGAAAACTACACGTACCCACACATGTAAGATGAGGTCAGATTAAGTTCCTGATTCATTTAGTCACAGATATAGAAATGTTTAGGTTTGAGGATCAGATGCAGCATGTTTAGTGTAGAGAGTTGTATTAGCCCATTTTCACGCTGTTGATAAAGACACACCTGAGACTGGGCAATTTACAAAAGAAAGAGGTTTAATTTAACTTACAGTTCCATGTGGCTGAGGAAGCCTCACAAACATGGTGGAAGGCAAGGAGGAGCAAACCCCATCTTACATGTATGGCAGCAAAGAGAGAATGAGGAAGATGCAAAAGCAGAAACCCCAGATAAAACCATCAGATCTCGTGAGACTTATTCACTGCCACGAGAATAGTATGGGAGAAACTGCCCCCATTATTCAATTATCTCCCACTGGGTCCCTCCCACAGAATGTGGGAATTATGGGAGTACAATTCAAGATGAGATTTGGGTGGGGACACAGAGCCAAACCGTATCATTCTGCCCCTGGCCCCTTTCAAATCTCATGTCCTCATATTTCAAAATTAATCATGCCTTCCCAACAGTCCCCCAAAGTCTTATTTCAGCATTAACTCAAAAAGGCCACAGTCCAAAGTCTCATTTAAGACAAGGCAAGTTCTTTCCCCCTGTGAGTCTGTAAAATCAAAAACAAGCTAGTTATTTTCTAGATACAATGGGGTTACAGACATTGGGTAAATACAACCATTCCAAATGGGAGACATTAGCCAAAACAGAGGGGATACAGGGCCCATGGATGTCCGAAATCCAGCGGGGCACTCAAATCTCAAAGGTCCAAAATGATCTTCTTTGACTCCATGTCTCACATCTGGGTCACACTGATGCAAGAGGTGGGTTCCCATGGTCTTGGGCAGCTCCACGCCTGTGGTTCTGCAGGGTACAGTCTCTCTCCTGGCTGCTTTCACAGGCTGGCATTGAGTGCCTGCAGTTTTTCCAGGCACACAGTGCAAGCCCTCAGTGGATCTACTATTCTGGGGTCTGGAGGATGGTGATCCTCTTCTCACAGTTCCACTAGGCAGTGCCCCAACAGGGACTCTGTGTGGGGGCTCTGACTCCAAATCTCCCTTCTGAACTGCCCTAGCAGAGGTTCTCCATGAGGGCCCTGCCCCTGAAGCACACCTCTGCCTCAGCATCCAGGTATTTCCATACATCTTCTGAAATCTAGGCAGATGTTCCCAAACCTCAATCCTTGATTTCTGTGCACCCACAGGCTCAACACCACATGGGAGCTTCCAAGGCTGTGGCTTGCACCATTTGAAACCATGGTCTGAGTTCTACGTTGGCCCCTTTCAGCCATGGGTAGAGCAGCTGGGACACAGGGCACCAATTCCCTAGGCTGCACACAGCTGAGGGACCCTAGGCCCTGCCGAGAAAACCACTTTTTCCTCCTAGGCCTCTGCACCTGTCATGGGAGGGGCTGCCATGAAGACTTCTGACATGCCCTGGAGACATGTTCCCCATTGTCTTGGGAATTAACATTTGGCTCCTCATTACTTATGGAAATTTCCGCAGCAGGCTTGAATCTCTCCTCACAAAATGGGATTTTCCTTTCCATCTCGTCAGGCTGCAATTTTTAAAAACTTTTATGCTCTGTTTCCCCTTTAAAATGGAAATGCTTTTAACAGCACCCAAGTCACCTCTTGAATGTTTTGCTGCTTAGAAATTTCTTCCACCAGATACCCTAAATCATCTCTCTCAATGCAAAGTTCCACAAATCTCTAGGGCAGGGGCAAAATGCCACCAGTCTGTTTGCTAAAACGTAACAAGAGTCATATAACTTACAGTTCCACGTGGCTGAGGAAGCCTCACAATCATGGTGGAAGGCAAGGAGGAGCAAGCCCCATCTTACATGTATGGCAGCAAAGAAAGAATGAGGAAGATGCAAAAGCAGAAACCCCAGATAAAACCATCAGATCTCATGAGACTTACTCACTACCATGAGAACAGTATGGGAGAAACTGCCCCCATGATTCAGTTATCTCCCACTGGGTTCCCAACAAGTTGCTTCAGTTCCCAACAAGTTCCTCATCTCCATCTGAGACCACTTCAGCCTGGAACTTATTGTCCCTATGACTATCAATATTTTGGGCAAAGCCATTGAACAAGTTTCTAGGAAGTTCCAACCTTTCCCACAGTTTTTTGTTTTTTTTTTAATTTTCTTCTGAGTTCTCCAAACTGTTCCAACCTCTGCCTGTTACCCAGTTTGGAAATCACTTCCACATTTTCAGGTATCTTTTCAGCAACGCCCCACTCTACTGGTACTAATTTACCATATCAGTCTATTTTCATGCTGCTGATAAAGACATACCCAAGACTAGGCAATTTACAAAAGAAGTTTAATTGGATTTACAGTTCCACATGGCTGGGGAAGCCTCACAATCACAGCAGAAGGCAAGGAGGAGCAAGTCACATCTTACATGGATGGCAGCAGGCAAAGAGAGAATGAGGAAGATGCAAAAGCAGAAATCCTGGATAAAACCATCAGATCTTGTGAGAATTATTCACTACCACAAGAACAGTATTGGAGAAACTGCCCCCATCCCTACTCTGGGGAAGAAAACTTGATTAGGATTCAACCATACTGGAGCCATATCTCAGCCATGAGCTCAGCAGGATTTCATAAAGCCCAATTCTCTTCAGATTGCTAAATGCAAAAAACAGGGAAGAAATAGAAGTGACAGGTACTGAATAGACAGTATGTGCCTAATACATCAACACTGAAAAGACAGTATGCTCTGTACCTTTGTATAGTGATTTATTGTTTTCAAAATATCTGCATGTACATTTTGTCTTTCCAACAACTCTACCACCCAGATATGTTGTATTCAGATTTAAGAAAATATTTCTCATGAACTGAAATTTAATCTTTACATTTGGACAAAATTGTGATCATACTATGCAGATAAATTTTTAAATTCATTTTGATATTAGAAGCAGTGATTATTTAAACTCAAAAATGATTGAACTCGAAAATATGTTCCACGTGAAAATTACATACATACCCTTCATATTATAGGATCCCTTGATAATAAGCTCTAATTTCAATCTATCAAGAGTATCTGAGTCTACTCTGTTAGGACATCAAATATAAGATGATCTCTACTTGCAAGGAGTTTATAGTATGCTTCAGAGTGATAAAACATGTGCAGCACAAAAGGTAAGGGTACAATTTCATACTTTGTATATCCTGAGCTGTATATCAAGGGCATTTGGTGATAGGAATATTCGAGGTAGGAGACATTACTTTGAGCTGAGTAATCAAGTGAGAAACAGAATTTTAATTGGCTCATGTGGAATGGATAGGAATAAAGCGAAACAGTGAGGAGCACACAGGATGGAGGCAGAGAGGGAATATTGAGAATAGCTTGAAGACAGTGAGGCTGTAGAGGAGCAATGAAAGGAGCTTGAGTAAGGTCCTGTGACGAGGGTGGAGATTTGTTTAAGGAAAAATACTAGAAGATAAGCTTATTGGTCAAGTAATTTAGACTCTCTCCTGTAGGCTAAGTAAATACTGAAGATTTTTCAGCAAAGGAGTAACATGCAGCAATTCACCTTGAAACTTAAAACAACTATCTTTTAATATTCCAGTAGCTAATATTAGACCTAACTTGATTTATTTAATACTCTTTAGAGAATTTTCAGGTTTAACAATCAGTTTATTTTTTTGACAAATATTATTAAATAATTATTTTTATTATGAGTAAAATGCCGTAGTCAAAAACTTTTTTTTTCTTTTTTTAATTTCAAGAAAATATTTAGTTTGGGGAACAGGTGGTGTTTGGTTACATAAGTAAGTCCTTTAGTGGTGATTTCTAAGATTTTGGTGCACCCATAACCCAAGCAGTGTATACTGTACCCAATGTGTAGTCTTTTGTCGTTCATCCCCCTTCTACCCTTTCCCGCGAGTCCCCAAATCCATTGTATCATTCTTATGCCTTTGCTTCCTCAGAGCTTAGTTCCCACTTATGAGTGAGAGCATATGATGTTTGACTTTCCGTTCCTGAATTACTTCTCTTAGAATGATAGTCTCCAATCCCATACAGGTTGCTGTGAATGCCATTATTTCATTCCTTTTCATGGCTGAGTAGTATTCCACAGTGTGTGTGTGTGTGTGTGTGTGTGTGTATATATATATATATATATATATATAAAACATTTTCCCTATCCACTCATTCATAGATGGGCATTTGGGTTGGTTCCACATTTTTGCTATTGCAAATTGTGCTGCTATAAATGTGCAAGTATCTTTTTTGTATAATGACTTATTTTCCTCTGGGTAGGTAACTAGTAATGAGATTGCTACTTTTAGTTCTTTAAGGAATTGCCACAGTGAAACACAATTTCTTTTAAAACCAACTTTTCCTTTTCTTATTTTACCATATATTATATAATATTTACCAACAATACATGTATCTAGAACTCTTTAAGCTGTAGTTCATGCTAATTTGGAATAGCCTTCAAAATGACATCATGTAGTATTTTAAAAATTTCTCCTTACATGGTATTTGAAATGCAGTTCTATGAGCGACATGAAGGTGAGAAAGGTTTGCATTTAGAATAAAAGGACAAGTAAAACCTTCAGCAACTCTAAAATAAGAATCTATTCAAGAGAGTTAGAATGAACACTGCTAAATTTCTCTAATGAAGTAATTATTTCAAGCTGGGTTTCTTAAGGAATATTTAGTAATTAAGTTTATGAGTCCTTAATGAGAGCAAAGCTGAAATAAAGCACTGTACAGAATCCTCTTGACTATTATAAAACAGCTTTAGAGAGTAGATGAAAGGATATAACCTTGAAAGGCCCCCATCCATACTAGTTTTACTGTGTGAGAGGATCTTGACAATAGGTTTAATGCTGTTTTAAAATGCTGTGTAGCTGCTGTGATGGCCCTGACAAAACTGCTCTGTAAGGAATTTATCAGTACCCCTTCTCCATCACCCACCTACCTTCTCTTTATTTGCCATTAATTTTCCTTAGGGAACCAATTGATTTCTTTCCGTTCTCCTTCCAATACACCCCGGTTCTTACATTCTGCAGTCTAGAGCTTTACTCAACTTTAATCTCCTTTCAGGTTTAATCATGTTAGATAGTGCAGAGAAGAACACTAAGACAGAATGTCAATAAATGTGTATTCTAGTCTTGCTACTGTGAACTAACCTTTTCATCTTAGCACCTGAATGTTTGTAGGCCTCAGTTTCTTCCGGTGTAAAACAAGAGTTACTGACCTACATGACTTATTGGGATCATCTTGTCTAACTATTGGTTCTAATATTCTGTGCTATGGTACTGACGCTTAATTTCCAGTGAGGCACAGATGGCTGATAAAAGTTTCAGATGATCTTCCCAGATTCCACTGGCATTTTCAAAATAAACTTATTAAATGAGATTATAAAACAGTAAGGGCTGTGGGCATAGTAGATACTAAAATATGAATTGCCTTTGCCTTCCTTATTAAAAGGAATCTTGGTGAGAGTTGTAGACAATGTGGAATACTGATGGAACAATATTTTTATTGTGTTATTAGTGGAAACGTCACCTATTTTATAAGTACACATGTACATTCCATTTAAATAAGAAAATGTTATTTTAAGATAATTTGTGAGAATGTGATAGTCCTGAGCTACCTCTTTTTCTACAGATATATTAGTGAAATAAAAGAGAACTTTTCGAATCTGATCTATAATCATAATTAACCAGTACTTAATGAGTATTTGACACTTCAAAAATGACACACAGGAATTAAGACTGTCCTCAAGCAGTTTGCCTTTGGATATCAACAATATTAAAAAACTGCTGCTCATTAGCATCCCTTATATTGAGAATCCACTATGACTGAAGTGTTATTATCTGCTTTCTTACTCCCATTCTCTTTAGTTTCAGTATAAATAAAACTAATCATCAGTAAAATTATTGTTAGCATAGAGGTAGGGAGGGGAGCAATTCTTTACTCAAACACTGCAAGGCAAGATTTGAAACCATTACAATAACTTTGGGAGTAAATTGAGTTTTAATGATATTAGCTTCTCAGGAAAATAGTAGGAAAGGCCATCTGTCTAGGTTATTTTGTTTTATTTGATGACAAAATTACCAATACAGGTAAGGGTAGAAAATGAAGAGAAACTATAGTGCTTGGATTCATAAAATTCATATTGAACAGTGCTTAATGGAAAGCAGTATTATCAGTAATAATCCTTCTAATATATTGAACATTTGAAATTTGCTAAGACAGAAATTTAAAAATCTGTACTTTAAAAGAAGGGAAACCTAGAGCAGTACTTTTATGTATAGTTGGCAGAGAAGCAAAGTGTTGGAAAGCAATCTGGCAACCTGTATTAAAATTAAAAATACACGTACCTTTAGATTCAGCAATCTTCCCCCTAGGAATTGACTCCCACAGAAATAAAAGCACCTGTACTGAATATATTGGTACAGAATATTTATGGCAGCATTGTTTGTAATTAGGAAAAAATCAAAAATTGAAACAAATATTTATGGCAACATTGTTTGTAATCAGGAAAAATTGAAAACAAAATGAATGCCCATCAATGAATGGGAAAAGAGCTGACTAAATCATGGCACATCCATTAAAGCAAATGACCTAAGAGTTTTATCCCACTTCACGGGATCCCCATATTGTTGAATGCACAAACCAAGTGTGTTGGTCCATTTGTGTTGCTGTAAAGAAATATCTAAGGCTGGGTAAATTATAAAGAAAAGAAGTTTATTTCTCTTATAGTTAGTTAGGCTATACATAAAGCACACTGCCAGCATGTGCTTCTGGTGAGGACTTTAGGAAGCTTACAATTATGGTGGAAGGCAGAAGAGAGCCTGCATGTCACATGAAGAGAGAGCAAGAAAACACAAAAGTATGTGTATAAGACTATTTTTTGTTAAACAAAACCTGTATGCATATACATTGTAGATGTTTCTGTGTCAGCAAATTGTTACATGAACACAAAAGAAAAAATGAAAAATAAAACTAGGGATTCTGATTTGCATGGAAGGAAACACAAAAATTATTAAAAAGAGTAAGTAAAATCTTTAGCAGTGGAATAAAAATGTCAAGAAATACAAAATTTACAACTGTAATTCATTATTTTGGGGGATCAAGTTTCTTTATCACAGAAATTCTTTCAACTTTTAAAGCTGTAAAAGCTCCCGTTTTGACTTATTGATGCTCAAGCCACTGAGAGCTATCATAAGATCATCTTGACTTGAGATTCTCAATGAACACAGTGAAAAAATTAGATATGTAAAGTAAATGAAGAAAGTGAGGAATGTGAAGTCAAAATAACATGATATAACCAAAAAGATAGAGGACTGATATCTTCATGTGAGTAAGCCAGTCTAATAACTTCATAATATTATACTCCATTGCTTTTAAATTATAAGAAATAATTGTTGCTAAAATAATTCTAGTGATAAAATATAGCCAGTATGCTTTTCAAATGAAAAACTTCTAAATGTATTGAATATATAATTATAATAATTACAATTTAGTTTACCTTACAGGACCATTCATTTCAAGAATTCTTGGTCATCTCAGCAGACCGCTGGGTTCCTTTGTGCATAAGATTCCCTAGGCAATTTGGAAGAGTCAAGGAAAGCCGGTAATTGATGATTGTATGAGCAAATATCAGGATTAAGGGACATGGGTAATAATGGTCGGTCCACACCAGGTCAGAGTCTCTTACTATGGCAGGAGAAAGAAGGCAAAACACAGCTCAAGTTTCAGTACACTCTCAAGGGGACAAAGTAATTGCTTTAGAGTAAGTCTAAACATGGGAGGCAGGGGCGTGTCACACAAAGAACTCTTTAGCCCGCTCCTTGACAAATGCAACTTACCCTAAAAGAATATGGCTACTTTGGGTAGAATGAAAGAATTTTATCACTTAGAAATCCAATTATCTAACGTGGATTGAAATCACTGTCACACAGAGAGAAATTTCTCTGTCGGGTGGAAGGAGCTATGGCTCCTAGGTGATAAGCTGGAGCAGGGATGGTAACGCTCACCTGACTGAGTAATTAGGAGCAACTGGAGAGGAGTCATAAACTGCAGTAATGGTTGAGGCTGGGAAATGTAAGGTATGGGAGCAATAGTGAGTTGATATTGGGAATTGAGATAGTGTGAACCCTTGGAAAAGTTGCCACTGGGTATTTTTTCCCTTCTAACCTTTCTAGTCTCTTGGGAGGAGTTGGAGGAGTTAAAATTTTTCTAACTGTGGGTCTGGAGCTCAGTGTTTCCAGGATAACAGCTTAGGCCATTGATTTTCCTCATGACTGGTGTGTAATAGAAATAATATCTCTGCATTCATTTATTAATTTGTTCAACAAATATGTATTAAGCTTGTCCATGGCAGATTTTACTTTGTGTATATGTAAACCAAGCAGATAGATTAGCTATGCATTCACCCATGCTCCCTAGGCCCCAACCCGGGAGCACTAGCTCTTCCTAAGTATAATATTCTGTGTTTCCAGAAAGTACTCAATCTTGATTTATGCCACAGTTCCCTCACCTGTCCTTCATACCAGGAACAGCTTTTGTCTTTGATCCATCTTTCTTTGTATCTATTCAAGATCTACCTCCATCCCTGGCTTATCTGTCAACACAGTCCCTTTATCCCCTGTTGCATAAATTCATCATGATCTTAGGTCTTCTGATATTTCTAACTTCAATCCTCATTGCTGTTATGGATTAAATCTTTTAACCCACTTGCTATTATATTGATGGGATTTTGAAAAGAGGAATGATAAATATGACAGGAAGGTATTTTATATTGGAAATAGAACAGGTGATGGTTAGGGTAAGAAAAGGAGCAGAGGTGAGGAGATTAGATGAAGAGACTACTGTAATAGTACAAGCCAAAAGATTTTGCTTCTGTTTTATTTGAAATATGATTTTTCTTTTAATAGCTAGGAGGAAAATTGGATTCAAGTATGTAAAACAGTAAAAAAGTTAATTTAATTATTAAACACTGTGTAACAGTCTTATTTCAGAGTTTTTATTAATAGATTTATCATGTTTTGTCATGTTTTAATGGAATCACTTCTCAGTTGAAAATATTACTGCTGATACTATTAAAAGTACATATTTTTAATATCTGAGTCTATATAATTATCTCAAACTTCCATTTTGAAAGGACTTACTTTGGCAGTTACATAAATTCCTGCAATTATACTAGACAGACAAATATTTGTACAGTTAACAAAAACAAATACTTTTTTTAAATAAAGAGGCACCAACTAGTGAAATTGAAAAGCAAAGTAAAATGTAGGCTGAGTTTCAGAACTGGATCTTCAAAAATGGGAACTCAGTTAGGGCCCAGTTAGAAACAGTATCAAAAGTCTTCATATTCAATCAGAACCTAAACTCTACCCATAACTGCCACTTGTAAAACCATGTGCCTCTTTCTTTTGGCTATTTAGTCCAATTCCATTATACTCACTATAGGTGTTTGAAGAAAGAATGGGAAAGCCCAAACTAATCAGTTTTTATAGTGTTGTAAATCTGTGCAATGGCCAAAAGCTATTGCTCTGCTGTTTTCTGCAGCAGCACAGACCACTTTTCCTCTGGGCAGTCACTGCTTGAAATAATTACTGACATTAATGATGCAAGCTCCTGAATTTAATAGATCTAGGTTTATGTTGTCATCCATCACTGTGCAACATCTTCTATCTTCTCTGCTATTACCAAAAGTTTCTTTAAGTGTTTTAAGATATTTTATTTGACCCAGCGATGCATTTTAACTACAAGAAACCACCAAGCAAAAATTCCAGGACTCTGAGTTTTATGTATATTATGGTAGTTATATTGGCATAAAATTATTTCTTAATCAAAACTAAAGAACAATAGATGCTAATAAGTGCCACATAAAACATCATCTTAGTCTCTTATGTGTCACATAATCTTGTAACGATACATTGTTAACACTTAATAAAAGCCTTCGTTTGATAAAGGTTTCTTTTGCCTTTTTAAAAGGTGGATTTTTACAAAACTTTGTGACATACTTTGAGATTTAACTGCCACCATTTTCTGCTGCTCAAGTACTAAGTAAGATGGATTTTCCTAAACTATTATTAGTAGGGAAGTATGGGTCCGGAGACGCTCCTAGTTTCATGGCTCTAGAGCTCCCTCTTCTGTTCTTATTGTGAAGTGCTAAAAATATGACCTTTCTGAGATGTGTCTCCTCTGCTCTCCTTCTCCAGTTTTTATCTGTACCATCCCTTAGCCACTGTTGTCCCTGTTTTGCTCATTCTAGCTTGAGAGAACTTCAGTTGGTTAGTTTCAAAAGTTCATAAACCCATATCCCTCCAGCACCACCTGAATTTTGTGTTCCCCTCACTCTCACTTAACCTCTTTCTAGATTTGTCTGCTCTTTGCAGATTGGCCTGCTGAGCTTTATTGAGCAGGGACTCTGCTGCAGAGATGACTACCTGTCAACAATTCAATATATGGGATTCTCAAAAGTCATTTTGCTTTTCCTTTGCTTTCATTGTTGGGCACTTTGCTGATGCCACACATTTTATTATTACTGTTGAAATTTGATGGCACCCACTTGTATTTTGGAATCTATGGAGATAACATGTCATATAGTTTTGTTGAAATGTTGTCCGTGGATTTTTTTCTTTGCTATATCATTTTCTTTGACTGGTTGGGGGCTTGTGGAATTTACCCAACTAGGCTGCCTACTGCAGCTCCAGTCTTGCTCCAACTTCTCTTTCTAGTTCATCTTGACTCTATTTCGCTAAATTACATTTTTCTAGACATTTGTCCATTATAGTTCTTATTTCACTGTGTTGAGAAGTATAATATACATATAGAAAAGTACAACAAACAAAATGTATACATGATAAATTTTTGTGACATGAAATTCCATGTAATCACAACTCAGTCAAAAAAGAGAATATTTTCTAATTTCCTTTTTGATTCTTTGACTTGAGTTCATTAGAAGTATGCTATTTAATTTCCCAATATTTGGAAAATTTTCATATATCTTTTTGTTATTGATTTCTAGTTTAGTTCCATTATGATAAGAGAACATATTTTGTATGATGTAAGTCATTTAAAAATCTGTGAGGCCTTTTTAAAGGCCTAGTATATGGGCTATCCTGGTAATTGATGTACAGTTTAAGATTGTATTTTCTGATGTTGTTGGATGAAGTATCCAATAAATATTAACTAGGTCAAGTTGGTGCATAGTCTTATTCATGTCTTCTGCATGCTAAATGATTTTCCGTCTACTTGCTGTACCGATTACTGAGATAAGAGTGATAAAGTCTACAATTGTAATTGTAGATTATCTATTCTGCTTTAAATTTTATCAGTTTTGCTTCATTTTTAAGCTCTGCTATTAGATGGATGCACATTTAGGATATTATAAATGAATTGGCCTTGTTATGAGTATGTAATATCTATCTTAATGCCCTGGCAATATCCTTTGTTCTCAAGTCTACTTTGCCTTTTATTAAGACAAATACACCTGCTCCCCTTTGATTAGTGTTTGCATGGTGCATCTTGTTCTATACTTTTAACCTATCTGTTTTCTCTTTAATGTGAGTTTCTTGTAAACAGCAGGTATGTGAGTCTCACTTTTTATCCAATCTTTCTTTTGATTGGTCTTTAGATCCAAACTTCGTTTCGATTAGTGTTTAAGTCTTTTATATTTAATGTAATTATGGATATCATTAGATGAAATCATGCCATCTTGCTAGATTTTTTTCCTTTTCCTCTTTGTTCTAATTACTTTCTTCTAATTTTGGATTATTTATGTTTCATGATTGTTTTATCTTCACTACTGTCTCGTTAGTGTGAGTGCATATATGTATATAATTATGTCTTTAATTAGTCACAATCTATCTTCGAATAATATACTGTCTAAACTGTTTGTACTCACAATACTTCTGACACAAAATGTGTAGGGTTTTCCTCACACCAATCAATTTTTCAACTCCCTTGACCCAACTCAATGTCCTGCCAATCAATCAATTCAATGTAGACACTACCTGGAGTTAGCACAAATCCCACATTGTTAAGGGTTCAATCCCACAAGACTGTCTCCACTTCAGATGTCAGTCACAAGTCTGGGCAACCCATATTTCTGACCAACTATAAGTCAGGGGTGCACAACCCCTTCCTCAGGTTCTGTAATTGGCTAGAATGGCTCACAGAACTGAGGAGAGTGCTTTATTTACTATTTTATTTCCTATTAACAGTTCTTATCATTTATTTACTATTTACTATTTATTTACTATTAACAGTTCTTTTAGTATTAACAATTTACTATTAACAGTTCTTATTTTAAAGGATATCAGTCAGAAACAGTCGAATGGAGGAGATGCACAGGGCAGCGTATATGGGAAGAGGTGCTTTTATGTCCTTTTTAGGCATATCACTCTTTCAGTACCTCAGTGTGTTCACCAGACTAGAAGCTATCCAAATTTTATTGGCTAGGCATTTTTAACGGATATTTCTTTATGTAGGCACGAATGATTAAATCATTGGCTTTTGGTGATTACTCAATCTCCAGATCCTCTCCACTTCTGGGAGATCAGGGGATAGGGCTGAAAGTTCCAACCCTCTAACGACATGGTTGGTCCTTGAGCAGCCCGTTTGCATATGAAGCTATCTATGGGTCCACCAAAAGTCACTTCATTAGCATAAAATCCAGTATGGTTGAAGGAAGCTTATTAAGAGTAACAAAAGGTATTCCTGTCACCCCTGTCACTTACACATTTCCAAGCGTTTTAGAAGTTCTTATGTTAGGAACTGGCACAAAGACCCAATACACTTTCTTATATCATAATATCACATTCTGCTTCACTTCACATACAACAGTACATTCCCAATTCTTCACATCCTTTTTGCAGTGTTGTCATACATTTTACTCCATTGCTACTACTTTTACTATAGGTCATCAAGTACTTTATTTTATTTTTTGGCCTTCTGGCAAGAAGTTGAGGGTTTAACTATGCCTTTCTGCTTTGTAATTACACAACTGTGCTCACATCTGGGTCAAGCAATGAGAGGACGGACAGAGAAAAAAAGCAATGGGGTTGGTCCCACCTTCTGGAAACCCCTACTTCACCAACTAGAAAGAAACTTTCAGAGTTTTGGTTCCTGTGGGGCTCTTTCTACCAGTCATTGCCAACATCACCACCACCACCATGACCATGGAACTTCTTGGAAACTGTGGGGCCAGACAATGAAGAGATGAGAGAAAGAGAAAAAAACAAAAAAAAAACAAACAACAAACAACAAACAAAACACATAATGCTGCTCTCTTACTGAACATTAGCAGTTCCTTTTCCAGCCCCTCAAACTAGATATATTATCCATTTGTATCCCAGTGCTAATTTTTGGGGGCACTGGAGCTTTGAGTTCAGGTCAGGGTATATTGAAAGAAAACAATATTGAATACTGCCAATTCAGTGACACTTTGATTCTGGTCTTCTCCCCCAGTTCTTCCGCTGCTATTTAATTTTCTGTGCCTTCAAACAGCTGCTTCATGCATTCTGACAAGATTTTATACCTGTGTTCATGGAGGGAGACAGGCTAGAGTATGCTTCATCTTACCCAAACCCACAATGGTTCATTGTGGTTTTAATTTGATTTAATTTAATTCTCTGGTTACTACTATGGTTGGAAACCCTTTAATATACTTTCTGGCTGTTTGGCTATCCCGATTTGTAAATTGTGTGTTAAAGTCTCTTGGCCATTTCTTTTGTTTATTTATAAGTGGGTTGCATACGTTCTTATTACTTAATATGAGTTATTTTACTCTAAAGTGACTTTTTTCAATTATCAAGTGTCAGGTATGTTGGAGATTTGTTCTTGGGCTCCTTATTTGATTTCTTTCCTATATTTGTTCGTTCTTTTGCATCAATACCTCACTGACCTAATTGTTATACTTTTATAAGCTTGATATGGAACATAGGAATTAATTTTAACTCACTTCGTTTTTCTTGAGTTTCATGGATATTTTTAGTTGGTTTGCATTCACATACAAATTTTAGGATCAGCTTATCAATTTATACCCCAGCACCCAAAATGAAAATTTAATAGGGTTTTGTTTGGCATTGCACTGAATTCATAGATCAGTTTTGGGAGAATTGACATTTTTATAACATTGAATCTTCCAATTTTTTTTTGTTTTTAATCTCAATAGTGTTGTTTTTGTTTTTAATCTCAATAGTGTTGATACAGTTTTCTGCATCACAGTTTCATGTAACATTTTCTTTCTTATAATGTGCTTTTTCAATTTTGTATCAGGATTATCCTGGATTCATTAAATAAGTAAGAAAATATTTATTTTGTCTATTTTTTTTGAAAAGTAGTCATAGAATTAAAATGATCTTTTCGTGGAAATTTGGTGGAATTTGCCTATAAAACTATCAGGTGTTTTCTTTATAAAAAATTTATAAAACTACTTGACTTTCTATTATTTTTTCTGTAAGTTGATAAACATTAATTTTTAGAAATGTGTCTATTAAGTATTTAGCTATATTGGCATAAAATTAGTAGTAGTTTTATTTAAAAATTATTTTCTATTTCTGTACTTATGTCCCTTTTGGCATTCAAAATACAATTTATCCATGGCTTCCCTCTATTCTCTCTTACTTCATGAGATTTTATCAGATGTTTGTCTAATATATTACTCTTTCAAAGTACCAACTTTGTTGATCATCACCTTGTCTGTAATTTCAATTTTAAAAAATTCTGCTCTTAACAATATTATTTACCCCTAGTGAGTTCCAGGATAAAGGGAGGCGATAACCCTTAAGGCAGAAGGCACTGGGTTCCACATTAGAATGGGTAATGTTTGCCATTCATCTCTCCACTAAGCATCTCCTTAGATGAGGGCTTTTCACTGGAAGAAATAGCACTCGAAGGAGGTTGTCCTTCTAGTTCGTTACCTGAGAGCCCCAGGAGTTTCCAGATGGAAGGGCCGAAGAATGACTGCCCAGATAGTTACAATGGTTGTTTTAATCAGTACCTCACCCAAGTAGAATTTTTGCACAGGCTTTGTATTGTTCTCATAGTCACCTTTACCAACATAGGATCAATCTCCTTAATTTCTCTAGTGAGGATGCAGGCATGATTTCAAGCTAATAGCAGAGTGCTACAAGAGAAAAGCTTAAAAGACATATCTGTTATCTATTTTACAATTGCTACCATAAGCCAAACTTTGCTTTAGACTACTGTCATGCTTAGTAGTTCAATCCACTCTTTATCTCTCCAGGGGAAGATATATCAATAATATATTCTCAATATAAAAAAGTAATTTTAAGAATTAACAAAAATATTAGATATAAAACTATAATAGTTAAAATAAATAATGCAATACATATAATAAATAGAATGGGTGAGGGTGAAAGATAAATTAAGGAGTTAAAATAACAATCTAAGGAGCTCTCTTGGAATGAAGTGTAGAACAATTAAAATTTTTTTTTAAAGAAGGAAAATGTTAAGACACATAGATTATAGAAGTAGATCTAGTACGATACAGCTAATATAAATTGTAGTGAGGAAATTATTAAAATAAAGAGTAGCAAATATTGAAAACATAATGTAGATGAACATGACAGAATTAAAGAAAAATAAATGGCCTCAGATGAACAAGGCACAGAGTGTTAAACAGGAGAGACAAGAAAAAGTTGACATCCAGACATGTTATAATAAAGTGCAGTACTTAGTAGGAAAATTTTAAGACTCCTGAAGGAGCAAAACATATTCGAAGATGAACAGCAGTCTTCATTATAGCAACATTGTATACAAAAGGACAACGGAGTCATATTTTTAACATATTGAAGGCATATAACTTGGATTTAGAACCATTTATCTTCCATGTTGATATTTCAATGTTCGAGCAATCATATATTCAGCTACTTAAACCTCTGAAGTTATACTACATAAAAGCCTTCATCGAAAGAACTTTTTGAAGGAACTTCTAAAAAATATACTGACAATGCTGCATATTTTTTCATAAAAAAAATTAAGAGTTTTAAGATACCTTGGTAAAATTGTTATTTAAAAATGTATGGCATTTTTCCACAAAAGAAAAAAATATATATTTTCATGATAGCCTAGGATGAAAATACCTACTTAATATAAAATCATGCACATTTAAAAGAGGAAAAGGCAAAACTAGAGATATTTAGAAAATGTTAAAGTTTTTGTTTTGCTTAAAGAAATATATAGATATTAATTTTTATATAGGTAAGGAAATAGAAGAAACAAACATGGAAAGTGGGGTAAAAATTAAAATAAAAAGGTTAGATAAAAATGTGCAAATATATAATCATTGTCAATAAATAGTGATTAGAATTACAGTTAAAAAGCACAGGCTGTCACACTATGAAAAAATCTAGCTTCATGCTTTTTATGAAAGATACATCTAAAACATGTAATATGCAAAGACTGAAAATTAAAGAATGGAAAAGGATATATCAGGAAAAAACCAGCCATATGGTGTTGCTCTACTAACATTAGACTACACAACTTTAAACCAAACAACATTATAGTCACTAAATAATACTGAATTATTTATTTATTATTGCGGGATCTGGCCAGCAGCCCGCAATGCAACGGGGCTCTTTCTTTGTTCCCAGGTGGATCGGCAGGTCAAGAAATAATAGACACCCACAAGATAGTGAAAGCTGGGTCCAGGGGGGTCACCGCCTTCTGGTCCCGTGATGCCGCCAATGCACTGTATATACCAGCATTTATTATTAAGTTTAGTGAGGGCGGGGGTAGGTTAGTGAGGGATTTAGGGTCATTTGATTATGAGGTGAGATGGTCACATGGGGATGAAGTAATTCTTTAACATAACATCTGTATGCATAAGTACAGTATACAGAGATAAGAATTTACAATATAGTGTGTGCATCAGTAATTTCTAACAGAGCCTTAAAACAGAAACACAGTCTTTCCATAACCTATGATTAGCAAGATATTAATCATCAGTAACAGTTGCAGCAAAAGCTGGTTACAAGTAATCCATAGAAACAGGATGTGAAGCTAGACAACCGGTTAGACCAGAAATTCTCAGAAGGGAGTATGCCTTAACCCTAAAGAGGCCTAGAAGAGCCGTGGCAAGATGAAAGCGTTTATAGCCCTATCTTATCCATATGAACAGGCACCCCTCATGCGTCCATTTATAGGCTCTCCACAAGGGTCACATTCCATTCCCAGAGCTATGAACATCTGCTTTTCTGGGATAGGAATCTTGGTGATGTGAAACCTCCCTGACTGCATGTCTGTTCATAGGCTCTCTGCAGGGGGAAGCACATCATGCACTGTTGGCTCATTCTGGCAGCCCAACCTGGCGTTGTCTTCACACAATCCTGTATGCAATTTTGTATTTACAATAACCAGGAGCATTTCATGTTTTATTCCGTAGCAATAGTTTCAGGGGGTCTCCCTACATCTCTCCCTTTTCTCTGATTTAAATGAACCATAGCAATCATAGCTTGGCACTGATCATGATTGGATTGAAGAAAATTTTTTCCAATTTTACACATGAACAAAAACCAATGGCACAAATTGTACTCAGAACAAAATTAACGATAGTAGATCCTTCCAAAGATTTTACCCATTGAATGGGGTTGAGATTAGATAACCCCTCAGAGATACCATCTAAAACTTCAGCACCAGGTAAAGCAGTTAAGTGTGCTTGA
The DNA here is from genome assembly GCF_000001405.40 of Homo sapiens. Lineage (NCBI taxonomy): Eukaryota > Metazoa > Chordata > Mammalia > Primates > Hominidae > Homo > Homo sapiens. Next base: position 121,048,222 of record NC_000006.12, on the reverse strand, counting down.
GAGGCCTCAAAAATCTGTTCTTTTAGCTTGCTTATGTCTAAACTTAAATTATCTTCACTTCCTTGTAAATGGCATTTTACTGATTCCCAATTGTGAACAGACTCATTATATTGAAACAGAGTTATACAAAAATCAGAAGTATTCCAATCACATTGCATTTGTAATCTATGTTCTAAACTCATAATTCTATCTCCCACTCACATAACAGTTTGTCTTAGATCATTAATTTGATTGACCAATTTTTGATCAATACCTGACTGAGAATTCCACATCTGAGTATAATTTTTTTGCCATTTATCCACAAAATGAACAGTTTGAATAGATTGATGTAATGCAACTCCAGCAGTAGCAGCAGTCACAGTAACAGCAATCAAGCCCATTATTACTGCAATTAATGTAAAAATAAATCGTTTACTCTTTCTAAGAATTTTTTGTAGAATATTATTAATAACATGGAGAGAAGGGGAAGATTCCCAAGGCCTATGTAAGGCTACAGGGAGCCAAATACCTTCTCTGGCTCTGACTATTAAAATACTATGATATTGATTAAAGGATGAGTCAATACAAGCATACAAGTAACAATTAACACGTAATTATGTTGGTTTTTGAACTAACCTAGATCTTTCCTACTAATAACATATATGGTGGTTTAACACAACTTTTAAGTGGTATAGTCTTGTTGGATTCCATATAGATAGTATATATATTTTGGGATGGTACTCTTTTTTGTGATTGTGGGGTGGAGGGAATAGGTTGTATGAGAGGTGGTGGGGGGACATTAGCAATGGGGGGGGGGGTATAAGTCCTCATAATCTTTACTGTCCCAGCTTTGAATTGACCTTTTGATGATTGCCATAGTGATATTTTTGGCTGTGTGGAAATAGTAGTATAAATTAATCTGTTGTCTTAGTTTTTGAGGTGACAAAGTGAATTTACTTATAACACTTTCTCCAGCCCAAACTCTCATACCAGTCATAGCTAAGGTTAATCTCCATAATTCTGAATGTTCAGGTCCTAAGTGGGGAACAACCAGCCTTGGCTTTGGAGGGGCAGCCCCTGCCCCTTTCTACTTAAAAGGAAAAAAGGAGTTAAATCTACGATATAATAGGGGAGGGTTGTCACTATTGTTTTGATAAGTAATATCATAGAGAAAATGTTGACAATCTCTGTGACCTTGAGAGCAATCATTAGTAATATGACCTTTAGGGGCCCAATCAACAATGCTGTAGTGAGAAGAATTAAATAACACAGTTCCTTCTGAACTAACACAATCCTTCCATATTAATTCTTCAGCATTTGAAGACAAGTTGAGCCAACATAAAGGCTTATGTTGGGATGTATGAATATAATCAGCGATTCCTATTTTGATCTGCCTTAGAGGTTTTAATGAGAGCCCTGATACCAAGTGTCCCAAAGGAGGGACAGAGTGACCAGATGGTAGTGTGACTGCCCAAGTTTGAATATCTAATGAGAGACATCCGTTAGTGGGTCCCAGGCACAAAGGTGGATACCTAAAACCTAAAGTGATATTGAAAGGGGTTCCTTCTTCTGCAGGTTGGGCAGAAAAACGATCATCTACAGAACCAGGCATCCGAATACTATCATTAACATAGACCTCGATAGGAGCGTCCATCCATGTCATAGCTCAAATAAGAGGAGGAAAAGGAATATAGGCCCAATATATATAGTTTTTAACAGTCTGTGGAGTGACAGAGGGTAGAAGGATCAGTGTCATCAGGAGGAGACAGAGGTTGAGCCAGATCTGGATCTCTGGAGACGAGTTGTTCAGGATGACTGACTGGGTTGTCTGTTGTAAAGGAGTTAGCATGGTTACTTTTTCTTTTTGATGGTTGGATGTGTTAGGTGTTTCCTGCTCTGGCGTTTTCTCAGCAAATTTCTCCGTCTCCTTTTTGCATGCATCTTCAGGCCACAATTTCAGGTGTCTAGTAGGAATCCAAACAGGAGATTGATGTTCACCTGGGGAAACACAAGCATAGCCTCTTCCCCACATTAAAATAGAAACTTTTGAACATATAGTAGATTGAACATCTTTCTACCATACTTCCCTTCCTTGGTTTACTGTGGGACGGTTACCAGAGAAATGTTTTTTTGGCAGCAGTAACAGAACTAGATTTAGGAATATTAAGAAAATTTAATGTGAGCAATGCCAAGTTTAGTTGTATGTGGTGGGTAGACAACTCCTTATCCCCCTCTTTTTGTTTAAGTAATTGTAATTTTAAAGTTCTGTTACTTTTTTCTACAATAGCTTGGCCTTGTGGGTTATAAGGAATACCAGTAACATGTTTAATATGCCACTGATCAGGAAAATTTTTAAAAGCTTTACTGCAATAGGCTGGACCATTGTCTGTTTTGAGCTCACCAGGAATTTCCATAACCGCAAAACATGAAAACATATGTTTTTTAACATGAGAAATGGCTTCTCTAGTTTGACAGGTAGCCCAGATGAAATTGGAAAAGGTGTCAACAGTGACATGCACGTAAGCTAATTTTCCAAAAGAAGGAACATGAGTAACATCCATTTGCCAAATAGCATTAGGAGAAAGGCCTCGGGGATTAACTCCGGGAGATTGTGTGGGTAAGACAAGAACCTGACATTGAGAACAGTGTTGTACAATTTGTTTAGGTTGTTTCCAACTGAGAGAATATTTATGTTTAAGACCTGAGACATTAGTATGAGTGAGTTGATGAAATTGTTCTGCATCTATAATGGCTAGAGAAACTAGAGTATCAACTTTATGATTACCACTGGATAAAGGTCCAGGTAAATTAGTATGAGAACGAATGTGAGTGATGAAAAAAGGGTGGTTTCAGTTTCTGGTAGTTTTTTGTAACAAAGAGAACAAGGAAAATATATTAGTGTCAGTAATATTTTTGATGGTAGCTGTTTCTATTGCCTTAGTGGCATGGACTACATAAGCTGAGTCGGAGACAATATTAAGAGGCTGATCAAAATCCTGTAATGCAGAGATAACAGCAAACAACTAGGTTTTTTGAGCAGAAGTGTATGGAGTAGAAATGACTTTATCTTTTGGTCCTACATACCTTGCCTTCCCATTACTGGATCCATCAGTAAAAATGGTAGTGGCTGCCTCTAGTGGTGATGAACGAGTTAAGTTTTTTTAGGGTCCAGGAAGTATTTCATAGAAATTGAAAGAATTTTGACTTAGGCAAATGATTATCAATAGTGCCAATGAAGTCAGCCAGATTAGTCTGCCAGCATAAAGATGTAGAAAAGGCATTTTTAACTTCATTTTTTGACAAAGGGACCACAAAAATGTCTGGATCAAAGCTGGAAATTTTAGTGATACGTTGACGTATCACTAAATCAAATGACGTGGCCATTTGATCAAGATATATTGAAAGAGTTTTAGAGGCTGAATTAGGAAGAAATACCCATTCAACTAGAGAATCATTTTGTACTATAAGTTCCATAGGAGAGTGGATGGAAGGAAAAACTAAAAATTGTAAAGGCAAATTTGGGTCAATACAAGAGATTTGTGCCTCTCTCACTCATTCTACAAAAGACAACTCCTGTTTTGCTGGTTCAGTTAGAGAGTGAGGACTGTTTAAATCTGAATCTCCTGATAAAGTAGCAAATAGATGAGACAATGCATAAGTAGGGATGCCTAGGGTTGGTCTGAGATAATTGATGTCACTAGTAATTTTTGAAAATCATTGAAGGTATTTAAATTGTCGTATGAAGTTGGACTTTTTGGGGCTTAGTGGAGCGAGCTTCTAGCTGCATTCCTAAGTACAGAAAAGGAGTGGCTTGTTGAATTTTATCAGGAGCAATGTTGAGTCCTGCATTGGCGACAGCTTATTCTATAGAGGTAAAACATTGAATTAATTCATCTTTAGTGGGAGCAGCTATCAGTATATCATCCATATAATGAAGAATGTAATTATTTTTAAAAGTCTGTCGGATAGGTTGTAACACAGTACCGACAAACTGACAAATAGTAGGACTGTTAATCATTCCTTGAGATAAAACTTTCCATTGATATCTAGCTGCAGAAGCTGAATTGTTAATGGAAGCTATAGTGAAAGCAAATTTTTCACAGTCTGACTTGTCTAAAGGAATATGAAAAAAGCAGTCTTTAAGGTCAATGATAATTAAAGGCCATTCCTTAGGAATCATGGAGGGGGAGGGCATACTGGGTTATAACGCCCCCATAGGTTTAATAACTGCATTAACAGCTCTTAAGTCTGTTACCATTCTCCATTTTCCTGACTTTTTTTGTACAACAAACACAGGCGAGTTCCATGGAGACAAGGAGGGCTCAATAGTGTTTGCTTGTAGTAAATCATTAACAATTTCAATTAAAGCCTCCAACTTGTGTTTGAAAAGTGGCCACTGCTCTACCTAAACAGGTGATTCACACATCCATTGTGCAGAGGCAGAGGAAAAGAGAGAAGGAGAGTGAGGGCGCCGGCACACAGACGAGGTGGAAGGAGGATTCCAAGCTTCTGAAAGAAGGGGTCCCGGAGCGTCGAAAGAAACAGTAGGCTTAGAAGAGGGGAGAGGTCCAAAAGGACAAGAGGAACAAGAAACAGGCCATTCAGATGAATGCCACACATCCTCCTCTGGCAGAGGGGGCAATGGCTTAGTAGAAGAAGAGTTAACATATACAGGTTCCAAGATAGGAGGCGGAGGGAGGGTATCATCACCAGGTTCCTTCTCCTGGGGAGAAAACAAGGAGAGATCGAATTCCTCCTCATCATCACAAGGAGGATTGGTAGGGAGTCAGCTACCCGAGGTAAAGGGAGTGGTTCAACATCCGCGTTAACTTGTGGCAGTTGAAGAGTATCACCAGACTGAAAAGGAAGTAAAGCAACACGAATAAGAGCCCAGTCAGTCCAAACAGAAATAGGAAGTAAAACACCATCTCTCATGAGTTGGCAGAGAGTGGTGCCAACTCTATCCCAGTCTAACAGGTCCACAGAACCTTTGTCAGGGAACCAAGGACAATATTTTTCAATAGTCTGAAATAAGAGAATAAGGTTATTGGAATCAGCCTTGATTGCACCCTGTTTAAGAAGAAGTTTAATAAAATACAGATAAGCCTGGTGTTTAGATGGTGATTGTCCCATAATAACCCTGGAATAATACCAGTCGACAAAACCAAAAAGAGGGGAGGGTCGGAAAAAGCGTACCCGGAGACCTTACTGTTGAGACTGAAGACTAGTCATCACAAACCCGCACTCGGAGTGCACTGAGCCGAGGAACAAAGAAGGCCACGTTAGGCACCAGATATTGTGGGATCTGGCCAGCAGCCCGCAATGCAACAGGGCTCTTTCTTTGTTCCCAGGCAGATTGGCAGGTCGAGAAATAATAGACACATACAAGATAGTGAAAGCTGGGTCCAGGGGCGTCACCGCCTTCTGGTCCCATGATGCCGCCAATGCACTGTATATATCAGCATTTATTATTAAGTTTAGTTAGGGTGGGGGTAGGTTAGTGAGGGATTTAGGGTCATTTGATTATGAGGTGAGATGGCCACATGGGGATGAAGTAATTATTTAGCATAACATCTGTATGCAGAAGTACAGTATACAGAGATAAGATGTTACAATACAGTGTGTGCATCAGTAATTTCTAACAGAGCCTTGAAACAGAAATACAGTCTTTCCATAACCTATGATTAGCAAGATATTAATCAGCAGTAACAGTTGCAGCAAAAACTGGTTACAAACAATCCATAGAAACAGCATGTGAAGCTAGACAACCGGTTAGACCAGAAATTCTCAGAAGGGAGTATGCCTTAATCCTAAAGAGGCCTCATGGCAAGATGAGGGCATTTATAGCCCTATCTTATCCATATGAACAGGGGCCGGCCTTCATCCACTTATAGACTCTTCACAAGGGTCGCAATCCAATCCCAGAGCTATGAACATCTGCTTTTCTGGGATAGGAATCTTGGTGACGTGAAACCTTCCTGACTGCACATCCGTTCATAGGCTCTCTGCAGGGGGAAGCACATCATGCACTGTTGGCTCATTCTGGCAGTCCAACCTGGCATTGTCTTTACACAATCCTGTATGCAATTTTGTATTTATAATTACCAGGAGCATTTCATGTTTTATTCCGTAGCAATCATTTCAGGGGGTCTCCCTACAATTTATTTATTTATTTATTTTTTGAGCTGGTGTCTTGCTCTGTCGCCCCAGCTGGAGTGCAGTGCCATGATCCTGGCTCACTGCAAGCACTGCTTCCCAGGTTCACGCCATTCTCCTGCCTCAGCCTCCCGAGTTGCTGGGACTACAGGCACCTGCCACCACATCTGGCTAATTTTTTGTATTTTTAGTAGAGATGGGGTTTCACTCTGTTAGCCAGGACGATCTCCATCTCCTGACCTCGTGATCCATCTGCCTTGGCCTCCCAAAGTGCTGGGATTACAGATGTGAATACTGAAATATTTAATTCATCAAGAAGATATAAAACCGTTCTAAATATGGAAATATAAAATAAAACGCTCTCAAAATAAATATATAAAGCAAAAATTAAATCACAGGAATAAATGAATAAATCTGCCATTATATGGAAGATTTCAACACAGTTCTGATTCACCATTATGTTAAAAGAAAAAGTATAAGAAAAGGAAAAATACATTTGTAAATTGCTTACAAGCATAATTATATACGAACCGTGAGGAAAGAAAAATAATTTTCTCTAAGGATTTTTCATGGACTTATTTTTTTTGTTCCTATTTGTTATTTCTGGATATTTTGTTTTCCTCTGGTTTCTCTTTGGATGACTTTAAGAAAGGAATCACATCCTCTGCTAATTTTGTCGTTGTTGTACTGACAGGAAATAAAGCCTGCTTTTTTTTTTTTCCTAATGCAATAAATAAATAACTATACCTTAAAACACATAAAACTGATAAACTGATTACTAGGTTTATTAAGTTAGAAATAGATCTAAAGGAGAAACAAAAGCAAGTTCACAATCAAGACAGCCTGTTACCTTGAAGATCGAATGTGTTGGACTTTAAAAAATATAATTATATATAATTATTGCTGTTTTTTACTTCTGTAGAAGTAAAAAAAAAAAGTCATCTGAAGACCTTTTTGGAATGAGACGTTTACAAACAATCCTAAGTATTCAAATATCACTGACTATTCAGGAAAGTACATCATGCCTGGCTCGAAAATTCTGTACCTGGGAAATTGCCAATCCATTCATGTAGACTCTGGAAACATTCAGAAATGTGCAAGTCAACAGACAAATACTTACCCAGAGTTCTCAGAATAATTAAGAGAGGTCAAAAGAATATAAATACTACCTTTAAACAGGAGATTTAAGCTTCTTGAAGAGCTTGTTGAGATCCTCATCCTGATCAGACTGTGCCACAGGAAGCTTTGAGTCTCTCTAGGGAGGAATCTGAGGTCTAGAGAAGTACGCAATTTTACGTAGTAGTATGTTGCTATGTATCCTTGTTTGTGAAGTAAAGCTGCCTGTATGGATGAGTTATTATAAACTGGTGTCAGCTGGTGTCTTTTAATTAATTATTATTACACTCATAACAACTGCTTAGTATTTAACAAAACAGCCAAAGAAATTGCGTAAATGGATGAAACTCAAAAAACAAAGTCTTCTTAGCTTTTCCTACTGGGTCATTTTCACATAATCTAATTGCGATATCTTATAGAAGTGGAAACATATCATCGTTTGGCTAGATTTAAGAAAGCAGAAAAGATCCTTTAGAATATATGAATATAAAAGTAGGTAGTTTAAAAAGTCTGAGAATAATCAACTATTTGCTGATTTGATAATTGATATGAAATGGTAAGCACACAGTTTTTTCTCCAGCATTTTATTGAGAAAATTGTCAAGTGTGCAGCAAAGTTGAAAGAATTTTACAGTAAATACCCAAATACCCACCACCAACATGCTACCTTTAACATTTTACTATATTTGCATTATCATATTGAGAGGTGAAGCCAGCTGGACTTCCTGGGTCGAGTGGGGACTTCGAGAACTTTTCTGTCTAGCTAAAGGTTTGTCAATGCACCAACCAGCACTCTGTAAAAATGCAACAATCAGCGCTCTGTGTCTAGCTAAAGGTTTGTAAACGCACCAGTCATCACTCTGTAAAAACGGACCAGTCAGCACTCTGTAAATGGACCAATCAGCACTCTGGTAAATGGACCAATCAGTGCTCTGTAAAATGGACCAATCAGGAGGACGTGGGCAGGGCCAAATAAGGGAATAAAAGCTGGCCACCCCCCAGCCAGCAGCAACAACACGCCTTGGTTCCCCTTTCATGCTGTGGAAGGTGTGTTTTTTCGCTCTTTGCAATAAATCTTGATGCTGCTCACTCTTTGGGTCCGCACTACCTTTATGAGCTGTAGCATTCACGGTGAAGGTCTGCAGCTTCACTCCTGAAGTCAGTGAGACCACGAACCTACCGGGAGGAATGAGCAACTCTGGATGCGCCACCTTCAAGAGCTGTAACGCTCAGGTATGCAGCTTCACTCCTGAAGTCAGTGAGAACACAAACCCACCAGGAGGAATGAACAACTCTGGATGCGCCACCTTTAAGAGCTGTAACACTCACTGCGAAGGTCTGCAGCTTCATTCCTGAAGTCAGCAAGACCATGAACCCACCAGAAGGAAGAAACTCCAGACACATCTGAACATCTGAAGGAACAAACTCCAGACACCATCTTTAAAAACTTTAACACTCACCGCAAGGGTCTGCGGCTTCACTCTTGAAGTCAGCGAGACCAAGAACCCACCGAAAGGAACCAATTCCAGACACAATATATATCTCCAAATCCGCATCCCTCTCTGTATCCTTAATCCATCTTGTTTTTCAAAATAGATTTCATATATTAGTACTTTTCCCTCTAAAGGCTTTAGCATGCATATCATGAACTACAGTTCTATATTTGCTTACATTTTATGTAAAATTAACGAATAAAGAAATGCACAAACAGTAAGTGTGCCTTTGCATGACCTTTGACAAATGCATACACCTGTGTAACCTAAATCCCTAAGAAGACATTGAACATCATCACCAATCCAGATAAGTTCCTTTTTCCTCTTCCCAATTAGTCTCTGTACCCCGATCCCCATAAGAAACTATTAATCTGATTTTATGCACCACAGAATAGTTTTGCCTGTTCTAGAATTTCATCTAAATTAATAGATATTTAGTCATACAATATTTAATGATTTGTGTAAGGCTTCTTTCAGCATATAGTATACTAATATAATGTTTTTGAGACTTGCGTTTTGGAGTGTATGAGTTTGTTAGTTTTTATTGCTGAGTAGTATTCCATTGCATGTATATACCACAGTTCATTTATCCATTCTATTGATGGACACCTGTGTTGGTTCTTGTCTTGGGCTATTATGAACAAAGCTGCTATGAACATTCTTATACAAACCTTTGTGAATGTATATTTATTTCTTTTGGGAAAATACCTAGGAGTCGATTCACTAAGTCATAGATTCAGTAAATGTTTACTTTTATAAGAAACTTTAGCACGTGTTTTAAAAAATTATTAGAAAGGTTGCTACAAAAGGAAAGAATGGGAGAGAGCATATCAGCTTTAGAATCAGTCTTACTGTTGAAATACAGGCTCTATTAGCTTTATGACAATATTAGACATACATGTGCTAAACTGAAATAATATCTCAAACCTAAGAGAATTTTATTTCTCACTTAAATATTTGTCCAAGTGGGTGTTCCTAGTCCTGGATTGTTATACTCTCTAGTTTAAAGATAGTATTTTGTTTATATTTCTTATTCTCCTTATTGCCTTGAACTGAATTGAGAGATTTTAAACAAAAGTCCCATAATATTTTATTAAACTTCAACTTCAACATCTCCAAAGTTTCACTTTTAACACAGTAACCTTTTTTAACAGATTCTGTGCCAACTTGCTTTCCTACGTATTTCTGTTGCTGAACTGTCACATCACTGTAAATAGAGCTTCTCAATTCCAAAAGTCATTCTCAATAAGCAAACACCATGCACTAAAGAATTTTATTCTCCTTATGTTTAGCAGAAATTCCATAATTTAAGGGCAGCATAATAGCAAATTCATAGGTAAAAATATTAGCACTTTGGGAAAAGGAAAATATATATCTGTATAAATGCCTCAAACCTGTGGTTTGGCTACTCCTTTTTTTTTTTTATTATACTTTAAGTTTTAGGGTACATGTGCACAACGTGCAGGTTTGTTACATATGTATACATGTGCCATGTTGGTGTGCTGCACCCATTAACTCGTCATTTAGCATTAGGTATATCTCCTAAAGCTATCCTTTCCCCCTCCCCCCACCCCACAACAGTCCCTTGAGTTCTCTTCCTGTTTCTCCCAACAAAACTCAGTTCTAGTGGGAAATGAGTAGGAAGGCTGGAGGCAGGCATGTGAATGGTGGAGCGGCATGAGAAGCAATGGGGTCTCTGGCGGTGTTTGACGCGCACTTTCTCTGCCTTGCTAGTGTGAAAGCCAAGACAGAGAGTGGCTTCCCTGCCAGAGCCAACGTGCAGTCCATGCAAGGCCATGCTGACCGACACCGGAAATCCGGTACATCCAGTCACAGAAGTGTGGGTGCTATTGGGAATGGCGTAAGCCTACTGGAACCCCTCATCACTGAGAAGCTGGGAGTGAGGAAAAGGCTTCTAAAAACCATTTGTCAGTGTTACCCATTCTCACTGGCATCTTGCTGTTCATGGAGAGGAAGAATTGGACTCTCATCTGAGTGAATTACTGCCAGTGGCATGTAATTCCTCACATCCTCAAAACTGATTCTGAAGAAAGGACGGTCAGCAGTTGACTGGATTCCTTGTTACCTAAATAAATATTCAATTCAAGACTAACTATTCTAACAGCCGTCCAATGTTGACGTCAGTGGACTGTATTTTTTTACCCTTTTATTTTTTTGAATTACGTTTTGGCAATTTGGGAGCTTTCCAGCCAACAAATTTATGCATTTGAGTCTTAAACATAGTTAGGTATTACTGTGGCTTCAAACAAGCTATTGATTCTGAAGTAGTGGGTTTTAATTGAATTGATTGTTTAAAAAATCTGTTAAGAGTTTAATTGCTATGCGAAAGTCTTAGCAATAAATATTTAGTTTTTACTGACTTTAAGACTTTACTTTTACTCTGGTCGATAAGCTCAATAAAGTTCATATCCTGACACACATCCCCTGCACCCCCTGAAAAATATTCTCACCAACATGTTGAACATCAGGGGAGAACCAATTACCCTTACAAGTAAAACAATTGCTTTCTGCACTCGTTTCCAGCTGTTGGAATAGTCTCCTGGCCTTTCTTGTGTTCATATCAAGGACTGAATCAGCTTGTGAGAGTCAACGCCTGTTTGCCTAATAACCCTCAACAGAGTGCTCACTTCCTCTATTTAGAAAGGGTGGTCCCTGTTGTGCTCCTGGTATGTCCTCTAGAAAAGAGAAATGGTTGAGAAAACTGATTGGCAATACTTTACAGAGATAGCTGTCAGATGTGTTGTTAAAACGTCAAAAGGGCCACGAGTAATTCCTTCTTAAGAAGAAACCATCTTCATTTTTGTCTTATATTCAGAAGAAAACTTTCCAGCAAGTAGGAATCCTTGATTTTTTTTTCTTTTCAAGGTAAGGATTGTGCAAATCTGAATAACTCCAGAGTAATTGAGCAGTGATATGTGGTAGTCAATAAAAAATAGCACAGCCTTGGACAGGCCAGTGGCGCAGGCACAGGCCTGTAATCCCAGCACTTTGGGAGGCCAGTGATGGCAGATCACTTGAGCTTATGTGTTGGAGACCAGCCTGGGCAATATAGTGGAACCCCATCTCTACCAAAACAAAAAAAGGTTTAGCCGAGTGTGTTGGTGGGCATCTGTAGTCCTAGCTATTCTGGAGGCTGAGGAGGGAGGATGAGGTGGCAGGATGGCTTAAGAGCCGAGATGAGATCCGCCATGGCATTCTAGCCTGGATGACAGAACAAGGCCCTGTCTGAGAAAAAAAAAAAAAATCGCAGTCTCAAACTAGCTGGTCAGCCCTTTGATATTTTATGAACATCTGGGCCATTCTTCCCAGCATACTCAGTGGCCCAAGCTTTTATAGGAAATAGATACAAAAGAATATGGTAAATTTTTATTGCGCATATTTGCTCTAGATATGTCATAAACATTTTACCAAACTCTAATTTTAATTGGAGCAACAAGAAAAATCTAATGCAATTTTGCACTGAGAAAGATGTTCATGGTTTATTTGATTTTATATTCAAAATGAATATAGACTCCTTTCATCTGGTGTTCCTCTCACTAGTAATAATAGTAGCAATAAAAGGTTAACTCATTCTTACTGAGAATGGAAATTATATGTGAGAAAAAAAGACTGATAGTTAATAGTAATGCTTTTAGAGAAGTAAGACCAAAATTAGTTTTTTTAATTTACGAATTCTTTTGCCCAATATCACTTGAAATTTTCATATTCTTTTGTCTAAGCATCTCTGGATTTTTTGTTTCTTTTGTTTTTAAAAAATATTTAGTATTTTGGTGCAGTATCTACTGTCTTGCACTCTATCCAGTGTATAGCACATTGGAGAGTTTAAATGTCAAGTAAATACTTAACAAAATATTTAGCTGTGCTATGTTCTTTAATACTTAAACTTTAAAAAGTGTTTAAGAAGAGAAGAACCTTATATATGCTTAATATAATACTTTACTAAATAGCAACATTGATGATAACAATAAAATTTCAATTCTTAAAAGTATCACATAGTAGTAGTAAAATGAATTCATGGTCTTTAATTCTTATTGTGTACAAAATAGCTATAAAAGACATTCTTATAATGATTGAAAAAATTTGATTAGAGAGTGGGTGTTAGATAATAGTAGAATTTATGGTTTATTGTTTAATTATGATAATTCCTTCATTTCACATAATAAAATATCATAATAAATTTAGTGTGAAATGTCATGATCTGTATGATTTACTTTTAATTTTAAATGTTTAACCAAAAAACTACACAAATTAAATATAACATGTTGAATCTAAGTTATGGATATATGGATATTTCTTATACTCTTCTCTGTACTTTTCTGTATGTTTGAAATATTTTGTAATGAAAATTACAAAGACAAGTGAAGACAGAAGGAAAGGAGTGAAATAAAGAAAAACAGGAGTGAGTAATAAGAAAAGCAAATAAATGAATATAGAATCAGAAACCAAAATAGAGGTTGTAGCTTCTGCTACATATGCAATTATGGGAAAGACATGTAATTGATCTGAATTTAGTTTTCCTATTTTTAAAATGGGGATAATCTAAAATGAAATGCTGTGACATATCTACTAGATGGTTAAAATAAAAAAGACTGACAATATAAAGCGTTGACAAGTAAATGGAGCAAATTAAACATATGTTGCTAGTAGGAATTTAAAATTGTATAACCACTTTGGAAAATTGTATAACATCTTTTACTAAATACATATGTAATATATGGCCAAGCAATTTCACTCCTAGTTACATACAAAAAAGCAAATAAATGCACGTCAACAAAATATATGTTCAAAATGTTCATAGCAGTTTTATTCATAATAGCACAAAACTGAAAACAACCAGATGTCTATCAACAGGTGAATAAAGAAACAAATGTTTGTTTCTTAAGTGGTGTGCAACAGTAAAAAATGACCAACTCTGGTATATGTAACAAAATGGATTGAACTCATAGATGTTATGTAATACTGAGGGAAAGTAGTCTGGCACAAAGACATCTTTATTCTGTGAATTATTATTTTTTTTTTTTTTGAGATGGAATCTTGCTCTGTTGCCAGGCTGGAGTGCAGTGGCATGAGCTCGGCTCACTGCAACCTCCACCTCCCAGGTTCAAGTGATTCTCTTACCTCAGCCTCTCTAGTAGCTGGGATTACAGGCGTGTACCACCATGCCCAGCTAATTTTTGTATTTTTAGTAGAGATGAGGTTTCACCATGTTGGCTATGATGGTCTCGATCTCTTGACCTCGTGATCCGCCTACCTCGGCCTTCCAAAGTGCTGGGATTACAGGCGTGAGCCACTGCACCCAGCCTTTATATCTTGATTTTTACTCAGGCATATACATATATATGTAAAAAATATCATTCTTTACTTAAGATGAGAGTGCTTTATGCACGTTCCTGTATTCCATGCTATCTTTCAATTAAATAGAATAAATAAAACAAAAATATTAATATTCAAATCCCAGGAAAGAAGAGCAAATATGAAAATATGGAATTATTTAATAAATTATAAAACACTATACAAATTTCATAATTATCATTTTCTAAGCTAAACCTCAAAATTTTTGCAAAAAGCAAGATTTTATTTTCACATTGTGACAAGCATTGTTATTATTTGTATTATACTAAATTTGGCTCATCTTTTACTCTAATCTTTTTTTGAACTAAGCCTTGTCATAACCTAATTCCTATCAATTTTCCCTTTTCACTGATAGTGGAAAATTGTATATTTCTATTAATTTGCAGTTGCCAAATGTTCACACAAATGTTAGTTGAGTGCCTACTATATGCCAAACATTGTGCTAGGTACTGGTGACACATATTTACACGAGACATTATCTCTTCTTTTCATGTCTTCACATTTTAGTCTAAAACTCAATTACGATACTTCAGTTGCACTATATTCCAGAATTTTTAAATGGCAGAAGCCAAAATGATTATTATACATTGAAAACAAAACTAAAAAATAACTTTAGTTGATATTCAAACGAAATTAATTTACCTCCATTTTGCTTCTACTAAGCTTCCGGAAGTTAAAAGTTATTCTAGGTTAATTTAAAAAAAAAATAAAACTTTGAATTTCAGATAATTAAAAAATATATTAAACTTGATCATCACAGCAGTACCTTTGAAACTGCAAGTTATTATTTAAATGATTATTTATTTAGATTATTTAAATGATATTTTAATAATATATGTTATTATTTAAATGATATGTTTACGCTATTAAAATTTTCTTAGAACTGTGTAAGTAGCTGGTATTATTTTATAAGATAATTATTTAAAATTCCCTGCTCTAGATTATTTTTCCATTTAATGTTCCATTTCTCAGTAGTAATCACTCAGTGAATAAAATAATCTTTTATGACTTTGATATTCTCAGAGACTAGCAAGTTAGCTTGCTTCCTAAGGTTTCAAGCTCAGTTTTTAAATAGGAGATTATAGTGCTCAATTTTTCAGGTGTCACTCATTGAGAATACTTGAATATAGGTACTCAACTCCTGTGACTCCCATCTTTCAAAGCACTAAGTACAAATTGATCTTCCAAAAAGTGTGCAAATGATGCACAATATACTGAGCAGCATGTGATCATTTGAGCAAAAGATTTGAAAACAGTGAGTTACTGTGAAACCCCTGGAGACCTTTTTATAATTCAGGCACAGAGAGCCCCCATTCTGAAAGGTAATATATCTTTTTAAACACCCAGTTTTCCTGTTCTCATGTCCCAAGGTTTCATTTCATAAAAAAATGTTAGTTGACATTATAAACAGATGCCAGAATGCACTCATCCAGCTCATGAAAAATTCAGCATAAGTTTAGCAAAGCATAGCAAAATCACTTATTAGGGGAAAATGCATAGTCTGATAGATGACCATGATTATCAGGTAAACTATTCATTTCTCTTCACAAAGCAATCACCCAGTGAAGACTCACTCGTTATTCACAGGTTGTCAGGGAATAGGATGTGAGCAGCAAAGATGTGGTGTGAGTGAGCAGCTTTGCCATGTAAGTTGCAGAGAAATGCTGGAATGCACAAAAGCAGAGTGCTGTTTAATAAGTCCAACTGATGCCAGGGAAAACATGAAATCTGGAGCCACAGACTTGCAATGGAACTACTATCAAACTAGCATATCAGTGCTACAGAAATAGGCTAAAGCCATGTGAAGTCATCAGAGCCTAGAAATTATTTTTTCCACAAGCTAAAATCTAACTTCATTAGAGATATAAACACAAATTCATGGCAATTCCAGTTTCAAATCTTCTCAAGAATAAAAATAATCGTAAACTAGAAGCAGCACCCAGTAGGTTGCATGTTAAAACATTCCTGTCAGAGATTGAACTTTGAAATGATTAGCATTCAATCTATCAGATTATAGATTATTTTATACTCTGTAAGCATTAGAAAATCCAATTGTGTTTTAGGATTTGTGAAAAAATTAAAATTATAGTTGTGTCTAGTACAATTTTGTAAGAAAAATTCTTTACCTTTTGAGCCAATTTGAGCCACCTTTTATTCTCATTCAGATTTTCAGTGAATATTTATAATCTATGTTGCTCAGTTGTATTTGAAGTTGGTTTTGAGGATGAGCTGTAGTCAGAATAGTTCTGCTCTCCCATGTCTGCAGCAGTCATGGAGGATGTGATGTCACTTATCTTAACCAAAAACACAGGGGTTTTGTCTTCTATCTAGAAAGTAATGTCTTCATAGCTTATCCATAATTCAATCCTGTTTTATGTCAGGGTTTATCTGGACCAGAGAGTTCTTATGTGGCTTGTAGCTGGGGAACATCAATGTACTAGTTTATTCTGCAATGCAGGATTCAACCCTTTTTAAGAAATAACTTTTACAAAAATTAATAGACTTTATTTTTTAGCTAAGTTTTAGGTTTACAGAAAAATTCAGCAAAAAATATAATTCCCAAATACTCACTTTTCCTCCCAGACCACACAGTTTCTGCTATTGTTAATATCCTCCATTAGTGAGGTACATATGTTACAGTTGTTATTGATTATATTGATTAATTATATTGGCAATATAATTAATCCAATATTGACACATTATAACTAACAAAAGTCCATCGTTTACATTAGTACACACTGTATGTATTGACTATTCAATGGGCTTTCACAAACACATGTCATGTTCCCACCATTACAGTATCCTAAAGAGGTTTCATTTTCCTAAAAATCCTATGTTCTACCAATTCATCCTCTTCTTGCCTCCTGCAAGAACACTGGCTATTATATTATTATTTCTACTGTCTCCATAGCTTTGTCTTTTCCAGAATGTCATATACCTGTAGTCATACAGCATATAATCTTTGTAAGTTGGCTTCTTTCACTTAGAAATATGCATTTAAGTTTACTTCATGTCCTTTTGTAGCTGTATAGCTCATTTATTTTTATTTCTGAATAATAAACACTTCATTAAATGGACGTGCCGAAGTTTGTTTATCCATTTATCTATGGAAAAATATTTTGTTTGCATCCAAGTTTGGCAATTTGGCAATTTATCTATGGAAAGTATTTTGTTTGCATCCAAGTTTGGCAATTTGGCATTTTTAATGAAAAAAAGTGTGCAATAAACATTTGTGTGCAAAATTTGTGTGAACATTAATTTTCAACTTATTTGGGTAAATGCCTAGGAGCATGATTGCTAGATCATAGGTTAAGACTACATTTAACTTTATGTGAAACATCAACCTCTTCCAAAATGACTTCTCAACAACAATCAATGAGAGTTTCTGTTGCTGTACATGCTCTCCAGCATTTGGTATTTTCAGTGTTTTTTTAAATTTTTTTATTTTAGCCATTCTAATAGAAGTGTAGCGATTTCTCATTTTCATTTGCAATTCACTAATGATATATGATGTTAAGCATATTTTCATGTGCTTATTTGCCATCTGTATATCTTTATTTTTGAGATGCCTATTTGAATCATTTGTTCAATTTTTAAAAATTGACAAATTTTATATATTTTCAGGGTACAATGTGTTGTTTTGATACACGTATACATCGTATAATGATCAAATCAGGGTAATTAGCATATACAACCATTTATAGTTTCTTAGTGGTGAGAACAAAATCCTCTCTTCTAGCTGTTTTGATATAGACAATACCTTGTTGTTGAATGTAGACATCTACTGCACAATAGGACACCAGAACTTGTTCTTCCTTTCTAACTCTATACCCGTTTACTATCTTCTCCCTGTTGCCCTTTCCCCTTACCCTCTCAAGTCTCTGTAACCACTGTTATATTCACTATTTATGAGATCAACTTTTTTTCGATTCTATATATGAGTTGAGAACATGTGGTATTTGTCTTTCTCTATCAGGTTTATTTCATTCAACGTAATGTCCTCCAAGTTCACTCATGTTACAGATGACAGGATTTCATTATTTTTTATGAAAGAATGGTATTTTTATGTATATATTAGTAGTATTTTATTATATGTTATAGGTAATGGTTATATAATATATACAATTTATATAAGCAATATATATATGTTTATGTAAATTTATATATTATATATATGCACCACATTTTCTTTATCCATTCATCCATTATTAGACACTGTTTGATTCCATATCTTGGTTATTGGAAATAGTACCACACTAAACTTTGGAGTGAAGATATCTCTTTGACACACTGATTTCAGTTACTTTGGATGTATATACCCAGTAGTGGCATTGCTGGATCATATGGTAGTTCTGTTTTTAAATTTTTGAGAAATCTCTCTACTATTTTCCATAATGGCTGTGCTAATTTACATTCCTATCAGCAATGTACAAGGGTTCCCTTTTCTCCATATTCTCACCAACACTTGTTATCTTTTTTTCTTTTTGATAATAGTCATTGCAACTGGAATAAGATGATATCTCACTGTGGTTTTGATTTGCATTTCCCTGATGATTAGTGATGTTGAGCAATTTTTAATATACCTGTTGGCTGTGGTTTTTTTTTGAGAAATGTCTCTTAAAATCTTTTGCCCATTTAAAATTGAATTATTGGTCTATTTGCTATAGAGTTGTTTGAGTTCCTTTTATATTCTGGATATTAACCCCTTGTCAGATGTATAGTTTGCAAATATTTTCTCTAATTCTGTAGGTTGTACCTTTACTCTGTTAAATGTTTTTATCGCAGTGCAAAAGCTTCATTAGTTTGATGTAGTCTCATTTGTCTATGTTTGCTTCTGTTACCTGTGCTTCTGAATCCTCATCCCAAAAAAAGATATTTCACTAGTCCAGTGTCATGAAGCACTTTTTGTTATGGTTTTCTTCTAGTGGTTTCATAGTTCCTGGTCTTACATTTAAGTCCTTAATTTATTTTGAGTTGATTTTTGGCATATGATAAAATATAGAGGTCCATTTTCATTTTTCTGCATGTGGACATATGATTTTCCCAGCACCATATACTGACAAGACTGTTCTTTCCCCAATATGTGTTCTTGGTTGTCAAAAATCAATTGACAGTTTATGTATGAACTTATTTCATAACTCTGTATTCTGTTCTGGTCGTCTGTGTTTCTTTTTAAATGCCAATACCATATTGTTTTGGTTATGATAGCTTGGCAGTATATTGTGAAGTCAGGTAGTTTCATGGCTTCAGCTTTTGTTTTCTTAAGATTTGATTTGCCTATTAGTAGTCTTTTGTGGTACCATGTGAATTTTAGGATTGTTTTGTATATTCTGTAAAAAGTTACTAGTATTTTGGTGGGAATTGCATTGACTCTGTAGATTGTTTTGGGTAGTGTGGACGCTTTAGCAATATTAATTCTCCCAATCAATGAACACTGGATATATTTCCATTTATTTGTGTCCTCTTCAATTTTTTCATCAATGTTTTATAGATTTCATTGTAGAGATCTTTCCCCTCCTTGGTTAAACTTGTTCCTAGGTATCTTGTTTTTTTTAAATCTTTTGTAAATGGAATTGTTTTCTTGATTTCTTTTTCAGATAGTTCATTACTCAGGTACAGAAATACTACTGATTTTTGCATGTTGATTTTATATCCTGCAACTTTACTGAATTTGTGTGTTAGTTCTAACAGTTTTTCTAGTGGAGTCTTTAAGGTTTTGTATTTATTAAATCATATCTGTAAACAGAGACAGTTTGATTTCCTACTTTCCCATTCAAATGCCTCTATTTTTTTTCTCTCGTCTAATTGCTCTAAGACTTCCAGTACTGTGTAGAATAGAAGTGGTGAAAGTGGGCATACTTGCCTTCTTCCAGATCTTAGAGGAAAAGCTTTCAATTTTTCCCTGATTACTATGATTTAGCTGTGGATTTTTCATATATAGCCTTTATGGTGTTGAGGTATGTGCCTTCTATACCTAATTTGCTGAGTTTCTATTATGAAGAGATGTTGGATTTTATCACATGCATTTTTCTGCATCTATTGAAATGATCATATGATTTTTGTCCTCCTTTCTGTAAATATGGTATATCACATTTCTTGATTTGCATGTTCTAAACCATCCTTGCATCCTTGGGATGAATTCCATCTTATCATGGTGGATGATCCTTTAAATGTGCTGTTGAACTTGGTTTGCTAGCAACTTGTTGAAGATTTTTGCATCTATGTTCATTAGTAATACTGGCCTATAGCTCTCTTTTTGTGTGTGTGTCCTTCTCTGGTTTTGGCATCAGGGTAACAGTGCGCTTGTAGAATAATTTTAGGAGTACTTTCTTCTTCAATTTTCTGGAATAGTTTGAGAATAATTGATGTTAGTTATTTGACTCTTTTATCTTTCTCATTTATGTGTCTGCTCCAATGTCTTTGTGGTTACAACAGGATTAACATAAAGAATCTTGTTATAATATACTATTTAAGCTGATGACAACTTAAACTTTGGTCATCTAAAAATACTCTAGACTTCTACTCTCCCCCTCAATTTATATTTTTATTGCCTTAATTTATACCTTTGTATATATTGTGTGTTCTTTAACAAGTAATTGTAGCTTAGTTATATTTGAGACTTTTCACTCTTAACATTTATACTAGAGGTTTGAAGGATTCACATAGCACCATTACAGTATTGTTTTATTCTGAGTTTGATTATGAAATTACCTTTACTAGTGAGTTTTATACTTTTACTTTTATACTTTCATGTGTTCAGCTGGCCTGTGTTTGGTTTCCACACTGTGCAGGACTGCCTATTCCTTAGGGGTAGGGCATTCTGTGGATTTGGGCAACATAGTCATGGCTGTTTTGCTGAGCCCAGAATCCAAAGGCCAGAGTCTAGCAGTGGCTCTGATTTCAAGATTGCACCATGCAGTGGCACTTACAGTCACTGAGGGTGAGGGAGGTGCTCAACTTGGGCCCCTACTCTGGAGCAATGCAGCTACATGATTTCAAGGCAGCTCCCTAAATTATGCTCAGTGTCTGTGATGACTGCTGGATTCTTCTGAAGCAAGGACTGCAGGTATCTGAAGTCACGGTGGAGGCTTTTGGGGGGTCCTCTGTTTACTTCTTCCCTGCATGAGGAAGTCTCTCCTGGCTCTTAAATAATCCTTATGGGGGATACGAGGGAGCAGAGATGGGATGCTTTGTTTCCCTCTCCTTACTGCTGTCATGGGTTTATGTGCACCACAGTGATTTCACCAGTTCATCGCTGTACAGCAGTACTCTCTTTCGGAGACTCTAGTTGAATTTTAGTTGTTTACTTGTTGTTTTGTTTTTGTGGGAGGATGAGCACCAGTTACCTCTAGTCAACAGTCTTGCTGATGTTGCTCATCCTACTAGGACTCACCTCTTAGCACACATTTGGAATTGAATTGCATTCAGAAATAAGGATGTATCCCTCATATATAATTCACATTTCAGTAGGCTCCACTGCTGCTATGATCCAATAAAAGACCCGTAAGGAAATACGTGTCTATGTAAAAAGCAAATTTGGAAACCTAGTCCCATTTCATTAAACAGTAACTCCCTTTTGGAGAAACCGTGGAGTATGACTGCTCAAGTTACACATGAGATTAAATAGCAAACCACTACAAAGTGATATTCAGGTTAAAGGGAACTGAAGTTTCAGTTCAATTTGTCTTCCTATGAAACCCTATATGCAATCAAACTAGTCAGGCCAAATCTGTCCTAGGGCTGTGGAATGAAAGGACCAGAACAGGGTCATTAAGAGTTGGCCTGGTCTATCTTCCTATCTTGGCACTAGATTATAATCAAAAGACCAGGTGAAAATTGGGCCTCGAGTAAGTTCACTAAAGAAACTGCTTCTTATAAATAAGTGCTTACAATCACAAAGACAAAGAAAAATGTTGTACTGTGAGATCTTGGACTTGATTTTCTATTTCTGCTTATCTTTCTTTTTTTAATATATATTTTTTATTATACTTTAAGTTCTAGGGTACATGTGCACAACGTACAGGTTTGTTACATATGTGTACATGTGCACAACGTACAGGTTTGTTACATATGTATACATGTGCCATGTTGGTGTGCTGCACCCATTAACTCATCATTTACATTAGGTATATCTCCTAATGCTATCCCTCCCCCCTACCCCCACCCCACAACAGGCCCCGGTGTGTGATGTTCCCCTTCCTGTGTCCATGTATTCTCATTGTTCAATTCCCACCTATGAGTGAGAATATACGGTGTTTGGTTTTTTTGTCCTTGCAATAGTTTGCTGAGAATGATGGTTTCCAGCTTCATCCGTGTCCCTACAAAAGACATGAACTCATCATTTTTTATGGCTGCATAGTATTCCATGGTGTATATGTGCCACATTTTCTTAATCCAGTCTATCATTGTTGGACATTTGGGTTGGTTCCAAGTCTTTGCTATTGTGAATAGTGCTGCAATAAACATATGTGTGCATGTGTCTTTATAGCAGCATGATTTATATTCCTTTGGTTATATACCCTTCTGCTTATCTTTCATTTCCTGCTTTACACCAGTCTTTGAATTCTTAAGTCCACAATTAATGGCCTTTCTCTTTTAGTGATTATTTTGCATGTAGTTAGTCTTTAACAAGTTTTAAACTCTTTTAACAACACTTGAGTGTGGTGCATTTCTTTACACTCTTTACATTTGAAAGTGTCCAAAACTAGATGTGGATTAACATTTAAGAACTGAACAGTAAGTACAGGGAAGCTTACGGAGAAACACTGAAGCCAACAGAGAAAGAGCTGTTGGAGGATGAAAAACGAGGCAGGAACTAGTGGGAGGCCATGCAGCCCAGGTTGGTCACAACAAATAGTTCTATCAGCACTGAATAATTTTTAGGGAATAATGAGTAGGAAGAGATTTTTGAAAATGAGCAGGCTAAAGCATAGGCACAAATAAAACCAGCCTTTTGCATATGCCTACACTGGTTAAGCCAATGACTCATAGAGGCTTTCTCCATTTTGGCATGTTCCATTCTTTTTTTTTTTTTTTTGGCCATTATGAATGTAATTTTTATTTTTTTCTTATTCAATATCTTTTTATATATATTTTTATTATTATACTTTAAGTTCTAGGGTACATGTGTACAATGTGCAGGTTTGTTACATATGTATACATGTGCCATGTTGGTGTGCTGCACCCGTTAACTCGTCATTTACATTAGGTATATCTCCTAATGCTATCCCTTCCCCATTCCCCCACCCCACAACAGTCCCTGGTGTGTGATGTTTCCCATCCTGTATCCAAGTGTTTTCATTGTTCAGTTCCCACCTATGAGTGAGAACATGCGGTGTTTGGTTTTCTGTCCTTGTGATAGTTTGCTGAGAATGATGGTTTCCAGCTTCATCCATGTCCCTACAAAGGACATGAACTCATCCTTTTTTACGGCTGCATAGTATTCCATGGTGTATATGTTCGGCATGTTCCAGTCTATCACTTGATCTGTTCTACTTCCTCTTTCTTTCTTTTTTTTTTTTTTTTTTTTTTGAGACAGAGTCTCACTCTTGTTGCCCAGGCTGGAGTGCAATGGCGTGATCTCAGCTCACTGCAACCTCCACCTCCCGGGTTCAAGTGATTCTCCTGCCTCAGCCTCCTGAGTAGCTGGGATTACAGGCATGTGCCACCACACCCGGCTAATTTTGTATTTTTGGTAGAGTCAGGTTTCTCCATGTTGGTCAGACTGGTCTTGAACTCCTGACCTCAGGTGATCCACCTGCCTTGGCCTCCCAATGAGCCTCTGCGCCTGGCCTACTTTTTTCCAGATGGCTCCTTTCTTAGAGATTCTACTAGGTGGTAGTAAGTTCTGTATCACTGCAAGATTCAGTTTTCTACCTCCTTTTCCTCCCTTTCTCCTTTCCTTTAGCAATTAATACAGCTCAGATACAGTCCATAATCTAGGTGCTGGAGATACTTCAGTGAACATAATTCTTGCCTTGGGGTTGCTCATAAACTGTTGTGTTAATAAAACAAATTTTACATATATTTTTATTTTTCTTCACATCCACTAAGGATTTGATACCCAATCTAATTAAACACTGAAAAAATTGTGAAGTCACCTGTATTAGTCAGCTTGGGCTGTCATAACAAAATTCCATAGATAGCGTGGCTTAAGCAACAGAAATTTATTTCTTCACAGTTCTGGAGGCTAGAATTCCAACATCAAGGTGGCAGCATGGGTAGATTCTGGTGAGAGATCTTGTCTGGCTTGTAGATGGCTGCCTTCTTGCTGTGTCTTCACATGGTGGAGAGAGAGTTCTGGTGTCTCTTCCTCTAATTATAAGGATACCAGTTCTATTTGTTCAGGGCTCTACCATTATGACCTCATGTAACATTATCACTTTCATGACTCTATTTCCAATACAATCACATGAAGGGTTAAGACTTCAACATACAAATTTTAGGAAAACACAGTTTGGACCATGGCATTACCCAAGTGACTCTTCAGTGATGTTTCTCTTCTCCCACTTTGAACCCATCTAAGGTTCCATCATTCTAGTCTAACCACTCTGGTCAATTATTTAATATTAAATAATTTCCAGTTCAAAAACCTTCTGTCTTCTGTTTTTTTACCTCCTCACTCATAGAATTTGATACATAAGTACCATAGCACTTTGATATATAATTAGTTATGTGTTTTATCTCCCCTGATAAACAATAAGCACCTCAAGGGTGGCGTTCCAATGATCCATTGCTGTGTTACAAATCACAGAAAAACTTAGTGACCTAAAATGAGAATCACTGTTTGATTATTTTGCATAGTTTTGTGAGTCAGGAATTAGGGGAGGGCTTGGCTGGATGGTTCTTGCTTAAAGTCTTTGTAATAGTCTTCTTGGGCTGCCATAACAAGAAGTCCAAGATTAAGGTGCCAGCAGGATTGGTTTCTTGTGAGGCCTCTTTTTCTGGCTTGCAGACACTAACTTCTTACTTTCTTCTTTGGCCTTTCTTCTGTACATGTGTGGCGAGAGAAAGGTCTCTGATATCTCTTTCTCTTCTTGTATGGACACCAAATCTATTGGACTAGAGCCCCACTCTTATTACCTCATTTAATCCTAATTACCCCCTTAAAGACCCTATCTCCAGATATAGTTGCTTTGGGGGTTAGGGCTTCTACATAAGAATGAGAAGGGACACAATTCAATAGTCTCTTATGTGGTTTAGTCAGATAGTGGATGGAGCTGAAATATAGGGGGTTGGAGAAGCTGGGAGCTGATTCCCTTGTTCTTGCTCTTGTGTTATTCCCTCTCCCCCTACTCTTTCTCTCTCCACATATTTATAGGATCGCTCTGCACTGCCTCCAGGTTGACCTGTTTGGGATTATTGGACTGCTTATATGGCATCTGACTTCCCCCAGACCAAGTGTCTCAAGACAGCAAGGCAGAAGAACATGGCATTATTATGGCCTTGTTTTGAGATTGCATCCCTTCTAACATACTGTATTTCTTGAGGCAAAATCCCACAGAGGTATAGGAGGCATAGACTCTACCTTTGGATTGGAGAAATATCAAAGTCATATAGTAAGAAGAGCATATTGGTTTGTTGGCATTATTGCTGCTATTTTTGGAAAATATGATTTGTCATAGGTAGGAAGGACCCAGGTTTCCATCAGTTTTCTTACCGCCATGTCTAACACAGGCCCAATAAGGGAATATGTCCTATAAATAATTTTCAAATTGGTTAATTACTGTTAGCTCATGTGCATATGTTTTTCCAATGGAACCTTCTATGAAAGTCTTTTTTGTTTCACTCATTGTTGTTTATAGTTATAATTGAAAAGATAAGAGATATTTAGGATACAAAAGCAGTAGTAGGACTCATGAAGAATACTTAAACATATTTCCATGTCAAGTGTACTAAATCCAGAATCAACCTAGGATGCCATTTTACTTGACATTGGCTAATTGACAATGGTTATTGTCTTCATACTGGATCTCTTTTATGGTCTACCTCTTTATTTTAAAATAGACACTTTAGAAGTAAGGGTTCTCCAGATGAACAAAAGCAACAGATGCGCGCGTGCACACACACACACACACACAGAGAGAGAGAGAGAAAAAGATTTTTAAAAAATTCTTAGTCTTTAGACATCCTGGGAACCCAAGGATGAGTTGATGCTGCAGCTCAAATCCCAAAGCAGTCTTCTGTCAGAATTTTCTCTTGTTCAGGATAGGTCAGTCATTTGCTTAAGGGCTTTAACTGATGAGATGAGGCCCATCTACATAATGGAGGTTAGTCCACTTTACTCAAAGTCTATGATTTAAATGTTAATCTCATCTGAAAAATGCTTTCACAGCAACATCCAAATGTGTTTGACCATATATCTTGGTATCATGACCTAGCCAAGTTGACACATAAACTTAATCATCACAGACACTAATGACAGGGTTGGTCAGTGCTTTCACTAGGAACATTTAAAAACTTTAAACCCACATCAGACAGAGACTTTATTCATGAAGTTATCTGAAATAACTATGTCTGCATTCCACAATTTCCTCTTTGCTGAATTGACTCTGTATGTGCAAGATCCTGAATGAGACATGGTGTTACAGTGTCAGGCTAACTACACTAGTAAACCCAACATTGTAGTGGCTTAACGCAATGCAAATTTATTGCTCACACAAATGCCTAATGTCCCTGAGATAAATCAGACATGTAGGCTCTTTTTAGTTATGCCTCTGCCTTCTTCTCTATTTTCAGCATCCTTTCTACTCAGCTGGTATATAGGGAAAGGGAGACAGTAAAGAAGAAGCCTTGCTGAGATGGAAGGGAGGTGCGAAATACATTTACAAGTGTCTCCAAGAATCAGAGGAAATCATAAACATTAGTGAACAATCTTAGGCTCAGACAGAGGCCATCATTTAGGGACATGGCATTTGTTGGGACTGCCCTCTATCCAGCAGTGAACATGGGAGTCGTAACAGAACAGGAACTCCAATTAGGAGGAATTCACATTCTCTTTAGAGAGCCTTGCCTCTTTATTGGGATATGGCTAACAATGTACTACTTTCCATTCTGTAAATATACATGAGGTATATATATTCCTTCCATTTTAACTACCTATTTTAGTTTAAGTCTTTATGCAGAGAGAAGATTCTACAAAATTTCTCTTTGCTGGAAAACAAGAGATTAAAAGCCAGACTCCAGTCTTTAGATCAATCACTGGTTCCATATGGTGAATGTTCTCTTTGATGGCATCATTTAGAACTTCAAGAAATTTTGCTCAGATTTAAAATTCTCATTATGGGCTTTGCCAAAGCAGCTTAATGCAAAGCAATCTTAGCTTTAAAAATTTAGAAATTGCTGAGGAGATATACAGTTTAGAGCCAAAAACTGAAACCTGTGAGATAAAATGGGTCAGAGGAAAAAAATTCTAGCACATTCTAAAAGACTACTGCTCTCTGAAAATAAAATACCTTCATTATGGTTTTTAATGGTTCTTTTCTATATAGAGCTACATTCATTCTTCTGTAGCTTGTAGGTCCCACCCCAATTTATAGGAAAACATGACATATAGCTGATAGAGATTTTTCTTAACATTTACCACTTCCTTCAGCTTTGGAATGAATCCCAATTGGAATTGGTATTATAAGTTACATGTTTTCTCTGCTCTTCAAGCAATATTGATCTCCTTCAAATCCATTTCTTTGTCTTCTAGAAAAACGGACATCTCTGTTTCTGCAGCATGTCCTGTATGGCCGTTTTCAGTGGACAATAAAAGAAAATACATTCATTTTCCCCCAAGAAGCACTATATTCTGTCATTATATTAACCCTGGCCTATCTTAGAGCTTTTTGGTGTCTCTTAATTTTAACCCCTTTCCATAACACCATCTTATTGTTATTGGGTTTCGGGATATATTGGTAACTTAACTATTTTACCTGCAAAGGTGTTTTCCGTATTTTATGTGGACTCCCATAATGCTTATATTTTCTTCCATATTTTAATGTTTGCTGAATTGACATATGCATAATTTTCCTTGCGTATTTTTCCACTCAGATTTTTAAGTATCACTATCTTCTCTATGGTAAAAAGAACCAAGTAATATTTCTTTAAATAGAACAGAAAAGAGATAATAAGCAGCAGGAAAGTGTGCAGAGCCATCACAGTGATAGATTGGCAATATCTTTGTAATTATTTCTATCATAACTCTTACAGTGATAACACACAATGACTTCAATAGAAGATATACGTATTTAAGTTTCCTTGGGAATGTCAAACACAATATGCTAGAGAGAGGTGCAAGGCATATTGCCGCACATTCATAATGCCAACAAATTGGAAACAACCTAATTTAAAATTTCTTTTTTCAAAATTAATGCTTTCTTTGCTCTATCCCCTCTATTTTCTACACAATGTATGGGAGGAATAGGCAAAAAAAATTCTCAATTTGCAGTGGAGATGGAAGGAAACGAGAGAATCAACATTTTTTGACCAACCTCTTTGGGTCAAGATTTCACATAAATTGCCTCGTTGATTCTCACAGCAATGTTCTGATTCCTATGTGTGTATAATTTTTTCCACCATATGTATGAGGAAATGAAGACTCAGTTCAAGTAATGAACCAAAGGTTGAATTGCTAACAAGAAGCCATAAAGGGATTTGAATTAACTCAATGTGACATCAACTCTGGATGACTATGACACTATGTGGTGGGGCGTGAGAAGGAAAAGAAGCATGTGGCATCCGTAGAACAGCTTGAGCGCATTAATGTGTCATTCATTGAAAGAATATTTAGCTATCTTCAAATCTATCCATTTTAGTGTTTGATGAAAGCTGAGCAAGTATAATTCAATTAGTTGTGATGTGGATATGTTCAAAGTGATGGTAAAGACTGAATTTGAACTTAATGAGACATTCATGATTTCATAGATGACTAAGTTAAAATAACTGAAGGGTCATTAAACACACAGGATTGATAACTAAAGCATCTTGCTGAATGATTTTCTTTGGCTCTCTTTGAGAATGGGGGAACATAAATTACCATCTTTTCCAAGTTAAGTAGATGAGAGAGAATATATTCTTCATAGTTTCTTCAACAACTAAGTATACCTTTATGAATTATTCTAACAATTGAATCTTTTATCCTGTGCTTCCTCAAACACTTAATGTACCATAATACTTTGCAAGTGATTTATGCCTGGTCACCCAGGTTCTGTAAATGTGTTTGGAGTATTACATATACTATTCAGTGAACTGGTTAATAAGCTTTTTCAGGGCAGTGATCAGCTCTTTAAATGTTTTACTGGGGTGCATCAGGGAGAGGCATAATGGGAGAGAAGGGCAAGGAGGCCAATATTTTAGTAAAATATGTAGAGCAACATATAAGACTGAGAGGTAGTGAACATAAGAAGTTAGGAAAGCCAAAGAGAATGATATCATGAGTCAAAAGAAAGAGATCTAGAATGAGAGGAGAACCAAATACTGCAGAGAGGTTGAGAAGCATGGGGTTGACAAAAGGCTACTTGTTTTTAAGAAAGTGATCATTGACAATTTTACTAGACTGATGAGAAATTAAAGCAGACTATAGAGTGTTGATGAATGAACTGGAGATGAGAATATGGAGGCAAAAAGTATGTATTATCTTATTTTTCTAGAAGCTTGATGATAAAGGAGTGGAAAAAGTTGGTGTGGTGACTTGAAGGGAAATTAAAACCAAGGACAGGTAGTTTTCAGATAAAATACTTGAGCATGTTTAGAGATGAAACAGAAGGAATAAGAGGTTGGGAATAGATTGGGGATAAGCAATAGAGGAGACATTATCAGTCAGTGCTAATCATGTGTGATCTGGTACCAGACCACTAGAGTTTGAAACTTGAATTTATAATAGATATTTATAAAAATATTTTTATTAGTTCTGTGGACCTGGACAAACTTCAGTTTTGTCACTTACTTAAAGAGGGATAATTTAGGGTTGTTGTGAAGATTAGGTGTTACAGTACTTTAAAGTGCTTAGTCCAGTGGCATGTGGTAAACATGAGATACACAACAGCTATTATTATTGTTGTTGTTAGAAAGCTCCTAAACAGAAATCATAGATGAAGGTATTGGTGTAAAAAAGTAAATAAGCATCACCTTTTCTTACTGAGGAAGATAGTACTGATGATGTTATAGTTTACATGTACGAGGTAAAATGAAGGAGAAAATATCAGATGGACTCAAGTTTTGTTTGTTTGTTTGTTTTTTTTTCAAAGAAGGGAGTTAGATTATCAATTGGGAACAAATGCTTAATCATACTAGATTTGGTTTGAAACAACTTTGTTCCGTTGACAAAGAGAATTATGCAATAATGATAAGTAAAATAATGGGTGGAAAACATTGAAGACTACTAAAGTTGAAAAACATAAATTTTATTGTAGGTGATCTTTACTGTTATGTCATTTTTCTCCAGTAGTTTGCAATAGTCCAGCAGAAAGAAATAGAAAAACAGGTATTTTTGTTCTTCAAAGTTGAGGATAGGAGAACTTGTTATGGTAAAAGTTTGGATGGCCAGGAGATTTGTGAAAGCTGGTAAGAAAGGAGTTGAAGTAGGGTTTAGACTGGATTGGGAAGGAAATGAGACTAGGAATGGATAATTTAACGGTAAATTATGTTGAGGTTGTAAAACAAGATCAGTAAATCCAGCTGTAGGAGGAGGAAGTTGAATCAGAGAAGGGAATTTCAGTAGTTCAAAATTTCAGGGGTGTAGATGTATAGATGTTGAGTGCCATAGTGATCTCCATGTTTATTGGTCAAGTTGAGTAAAGGTAAATTTAGAATAGTTTCATATTCTGTAAATGCAGCAGGGAGCATGCTGACAATTAGGCCTAAAATTTATTTATGAGGGCAGCAGAGATCCAGAGAATATTTACTCCTTGCCTTGTAAGTCTACTGTATCAGGGTCAAAACTCTTATTGAGAAGGTATAGAATCCTGAGATTTGGGATGGGGACATTTGAGTCAAAACACTTGAAAACCTGAATCCTCACATTCCTCTGAAATCTCAGCGTGCAGATATGGCCGACTTTTCCTTGTTGAAGACAAATGTTCTACCATCTTCTGGAAGATGATATAGACAACACATGCTGACCTCCATCTCTCCTCTTGTATTAACATAACCCAACTGGGATAATGCTGGACTTTCTATAGAAAAGAAAGGACCTAGTTAATGTGTTTCAGGAAGAGCCTGGAGAATATGTGTGGGGCTGGATTCTGGGGATAACTGAATTGAGGGAGAACAGAACTTAGTTGGATAAGATAGTTTATTGATATGGAAATGCTTTCTTCTGATATAGGATTTAACACTGCATCAAAGACCCCAAGAAATGCTATTAAAATGCAAATAAGTTGGTTCTTAGAAGTTTGGAGAAAGCAATGGCACACATTTAAAGAAGCAGAAATGCTAGAGTTGCTATAGCAGACAATGGAAGAAGAAACCAAGAGACTCGGAGAACATGCAGGAGGGATGTATTAGGTAAGCACAGAGGATACTCCATTTTCCACAGCCGTAAGTAATGTTCTCGTGAAAGGAACCAGCTTCACTGAGAAGCTCAGTGGTGGCCGTCCTCTGTGGGTTATGGCTGATGATAGAATTGGTGTTACAGAACTGGAGTCCCTAATTGCAATGGAAATGTTAGGATTTTGGAATAATCAAAGCCAGCTTACAGTATTTAAACCATTTGAAGCAAGATAAATGAGTGGCAGTGTCAGAGAGGCATGTGTATGTGTATGTTTGTGCATGAGTATGTGTGTGTGTTTCTGTGTATGTGTGTGCTGACTTACAGAAAGCTATGGAAATGTTTACTAGAACACGACATGCCTAGTGGTGTGATTTAAACTCTACAAAACGTAATTGGTCTATTTCATCACCTACAGAATGGTCTGCAAACTGGTGGGGCATCCCCTCAAATGTATAGTACAAATTGTTTCATCTTATAATTCTCATTACTTAGTAATAGTGCTCAGACCCATTTACAAGTGACTGAAAGATTTTAGTTTTCACTAGGGCTCAGAGCAGGTCCAGGATGGAATTGACATAATAGTCTGGGGTTTTTTGCATTTCCTGAAACTAAGCCTCAGCCAACATCAGTACTTGTGAACTGACAGAGTATGAGGCAGGAGTGGCCTCGCTTATCATTCCTGGTGGTCTACTGGGATAATTTGTGCTTCCTGTCCTCAAATTCTAGGTTCTGAGCAACTAGAATTCTTGTTCCACAGAGTGGGGATGGGTCTACCAGGAGACACAGTATGAATCATATTAAAATTGAAGGTATGGCTGCTGTATGGTCACTTTGGCTGCCAGGAGTATTGGCTGCTCTTAGCTTAGAGTTGAATACCTCTCTACCGATTGTTTTTATCCAAAGGGACCTGCCTTAAAAAGGTCATGCCCTTTCTTTGGGAACAACCCTGCTATCCAATGACTAGTCAATATGGGGTTTCAGGGACTCAGCCCTTTTGCCTCAATTCCAGGCACATATGAGGGGTAACCTCAGCTCTTGGACTTCCTGTGTGATTTTCTCAGTCCCCTGTTGTCTGTAACAGTTCAGTTTCCATTTCTGCCTAATTCTGCTTCCTTCACTTCCTTACAAATCTTGTTCCTAGGAGCAACCTTTAAGAAAACTACTACACGTAAATTTCTGTCACAGAGTCTGTTCTCTGAGTACTCAAACTAAGTAATATGGTTTGGCTCTGTGTCCCCCCCAAATCTCATGTTGAATTGTAATCGCCATGTGTCGAAGGAGGCGTCTGGTGGGAGGTGATTTATCATGGGGGCAGTTTCCCCATGCTGTTCTTGTGATAGTGAGGAAGGTTTCACAAGATCTGATTGGTTTCAAGGTGGCAGTTCCTGCCGGGCATGGTGGCTCACACCTGTAATCCCACCACTTTGGGAGGCCAAGACAGGTGGATTGCTGGAGCTCAGGAGTTTGAGACCACCGTGGGCAACATGGCAAGACTCTGTCTCTACCAAAAATACAAAAAGTTAGCCGAGCATGGTGGTGTGTACCTGTGGTCCCAGCTACTTGGGAGACTGAGGTGGGAAGATTACTTGAAGCCGGGTGGTTGAGGCTGCAGTGAGTCAAGACTGCGCCACTGCACTCCAGCCTGGGTGACAAAGCAAGACTCTGTCTCAAAAAAATAAAAATAAAAAAATAAAAATTAAAAGAAATAAACATGGCAGCTTCCCTGCTCTCTTTTTCTCCTGATGCCTTGTGAAGAAGGTGCTTGCTTCTCCTTCCCCTTCTGCCATGATTGTGTTTCCTGAGGCCTCCCCAGCCATGTGGAACTGTAAGTCAATTAAACCTCTTTCCTTTCTAAATTACCCAGTCTCAGGTAGTATCTTTATAGCAGTGTGAAAACTAATTAATACACTAAGACAGTAGTGGATTGGAGAAGGTGAGTACACATGCCCTTAGGAAGCTACCTGAGTAGCTCGGGAGTGGCCTTCTTTATCTTAAATTTGCCAATTTACTTTCCAACTTCTAAATATAATTTTCAGTAAAACTTCTTCTGAAAGGTTTCATAAAATATCAGAGTATATTGTAGTATGTAAAGAAAATAATATTAAAATAAATTTATTTTATACAGAAATTGGACTTTATCGATTAGGGATTATTAACAGGAAAGTTAGGAAGAGAGATGCTTAATAACCAAGACAACTCATTATCCAGAACAGGTCCAGGTGTATAGTGGACACTCTATAATTGTTTGTTGAATCAATGCATGAATGAAATGTTTAGTAGTATATTCTAATTTTCGTACTGCTACTAATATCCAAGTTAGTATGGTATTTAGGACAAAGATGATTCTCAGAAAATTCAGCCTTCTTTAGTTGTGTGACTAGGGTAAAATGTTTAATTTCTATGAAACTTTGTTTCTTTGAAAGCATATGAAGGATAATGCAACTGTAGTAGTTTATAATTGCTACTATAATAAATTACTACAAATTTAGTGAATTTACAATGCAAATTTATTATTTTACAGTTCTGTAGGTGTGGTGCACAGAATAATGGCTCTCCAAATATGTCCACAAACTTATTGCCAGTACCTGTGAATATGTTACTTTACATGGTAAAAGAGATTTTAAAAATGTGATAAAGTTAAGGATTTTGAAATGGAAAGATTATTCTGGATTATTTGGGTAGACCCAATGCAATCATGATTCCCTGCCCCCCAACCCAGAGACACGGTCTTTCCCTGTCACTGTCAAGCTAGAGTGCAGTGGTGAAAACATGGCTCTCTGTAGTCTCAGACTCCTGGGCTCAAGTGATCCTCCCACCTCAGCCTCCTGGATAGCTGGGACTACAGCTGCATGCCACTATGCCTAACTAATTAAATTTTTTTTTTTTTGCAGATATGGACTCTCACTATGTTGCCCAGGCTGGTCTCAAGCTCCTGGGCTCAAGCAATCCTTCCATCTTGGCCTCCCAAAATGCTGAGATTACTGGAATGAGCCACTGTGACTGGCCTATGTGAGACTTTATCAGAGGGAGGCCAACAAGTCCAGAAAGAAAGAGATGTGATGAAGGAAGCAGAGATTGGAGTGATGAAATTGCTGACCAGTACTGACATCTTGATTTTAGCCCAGTGAAATCTATTTCAGAGTTCTCACATCCAGAACTATAGGATAATTTATTATCAAATTTGATAAATTTGATATGGGTCTTGTGTGAAAATCAATGTGTCAACAGGGCTGCATTTCCTTCTGGAAGCACTAGAGAAAATCTGTTTCCTTGCCTTTTTCAGCTTATAAAGATTACACGCATTCTTAGATGCTGGATGCATTCCTTCCTCTCCAAATTCAGCAACACTGCATCTTTCCCTGACAAACTACAGCCAGGAAAGTTTATCCACTTTTAAGTATTCATGTGATTAAATTAGACCCACCCCCTCATCTTGAGATTCTTAATTACAGCTTCAAAATACTTTTTTACGATGTAGGGCAATATATTCACAAGTTCAGGAGATCAGGATATGGATATCTTTTGGTGGTTGTAGGGAGGTTGCCTTATTTTGCTTATCACAGCCACTTACCTTGCAAGGATTATATTAATATAATTGGTGAAATATAAATATATAGCATAATGTAGTAAATGTTAACAGAGTTTTTTCTCTTTGGAGTTCAATCTCATATTTAATTCCTTTTATCTCCTTTGACATGTTCCAATGGTTACACTATCCAAATTAAATATAGTGACTTGGTAGATGTTACTTTAGACTCATTTATTAAAACTGTTAAATAGTTTTCTTAATTTCCCTAGCTATCTGAACCTAACTTAAAATTATTGAAGAAGTATGTGAATTGGGTCAAAATAAGCTCACATTCAAGCATTTAGTTTTTAACTTAGAACTGAACCTTGTCCATCCAACAAATATTTATGTAGTGGCTAATATGAGCCAGGCACTCTTCTGGGCACTGGGGGTTCAGTAGTAAATAAATCAGCTGAGCATCCATGTGGCTTTCAACTGAATTCAGTCTTGAAAGTAAATTGTCATCTTTCTTATGCCTATTCTTTATGTGCAAAGAATAGCATTATTTGCTTAAGGAGTACCTTTTTCTTTTAGTATTGTTTTAATTATTGTTTTCCTGTAGGGGGCTTATATATATATTTTTTATTATTATACTTTAAGTTCTAGGGTACATGTGCACAACGTGCAGGTTTGTTACATATATACACATGTGCCATGTTGGTGTGCTGCACCCACTAACTGGTCATTTACATTAGGTATACATCCTAATGCTATCCCTCCCCGCTCTGCCCACCCCACGACAGGCCCCAGTGTGTGATCTTCTCCTTCCTGTGTCCAAGTGTTCTCATGGTTCAATTCCTGCCTATGAGTGAGAACATGCGGTGTTTGGTTTTCTGTCCTTGCGATAGTTTGCTGAGAATGATGGTTTCCAGCTTCGTCCATGTCCCTACAAAGGACATGAACTCATCCTTTTTTATGGCTGCATAGTATTCCATGGTGTATATGTGCCACATTTTCTTAATCCAGTCTATCATTGATAGACATTTGGGTTGGTTCCAAGTCTTTGCTATTGTGAATAGTGCTGCAATAAACATATGTGTGCATGTGTCTTTATAGCAGCATGATTTATAATCCTTTGGGTATATACCCAGAAATGGGATGGCTGGGTCAAATGGTATTTCTAGTTCTAGATCCTTGAGGAATCGCCACACTGTCTACCACAATGGTTGAACTAGTTTACAGTCCCACCAACAGTGTAAAAGTGTTCCTATTTCTCCACATCCTCTCCAGCACCTGTTGTTTCCTGACTTTTTAATGATCGCCATTCTAACTGGTGTGAGATAGTATCTCATTGTGGTTTTGATTTGCATTTCTCTGATGGCCGGTGATGACGAGCATTTTTTTCATGTGTCTGTTGGCTGCATAAATGTCTTCTTTTGGGAAGTGTCTGTTCATATCCTTCGCCCACTTTTTGATGGGGTTGTTTGATTTTTTCTTGTAAATTTGTTTAATTTCTTTGTAGATTCTGGATATTAGCCCTTTGTCAGATGGCTAGATTGCAAAACTTTTCTCCCATTCTGTAGGTTGCCTGTTCACTCTGACGGTAGTTTCTTTTGCTGTGCAGAAGCTCTTTAGTTTAATTAGATCTGCAGGGGGGTTATATTAAGTGTATATTCAAATTCTAGATCTGTGGGTTCTTGCAAAGTTCATATTTGTAGTAAACCATAAATTGCAAATGTCATTAAACATATATTCAATTAGAGAAATAATTAAATTGTTAACCATGAATTTTGGCAGTTTTCCAACTATGGTCAGCAAAAACAGCTGATTTAATCAATTGTGATTATAGATCAAAAGATGCATGACCAAAGCTTTTACATGTGTGACTGAATGAGAAAGCATATTTTTATTCACTGAAAATAAAATTCCTTTTAGGGAAGGAACAGTCCTTACTTAGGAAAATAAAGATATGCAAATTTTAGGTCACTTGGAGTTGGAAAGAAAAACACCAGGAATTGAAGAAGATTTAACAAAAATACTAGAGTGACATTACTCTCTCTCTCTCTCTCTATATATATATATATAGGATGATAAGCCAGCATTTTGAATCTTGAAAGTAGCAATGAGAAGGGAAAGAGAGAGATGGAGTCAAATAACATGGAAAGAACCCGGAACCAGAATGGCCAGAATTGTCTAAAAGACTTAAAAAAAAACAAAGATAACAAGTATGAAGTTGTTTTCTTTGCTGTGATGTTACTTCCTGCTCTCCATCTAGCCAAACTCTCTGTGAAGTGTGGCCTTTAAACACACATGGAATGGGATTTCTTTCTGGTGAAAGCTAAAGAAGAGGGATTGAAGTCCTAGTACAGAGCAGACAGAAAGGAACAACTTCATAACACAGAATGAAGACTAAAAATTCAGTATATATAGAAAAGGATAGCCAGAGGTGGTTCTAGAAGAGGAAAATTCCTGGGCCTTCAGGCCAGTCTTATTCCTGTAAGGCGGAGTGAACCAGACTCACTCTGGATTGTACAAAGTTTGATCTCAAGGTGCATAGCAATCATTTCTACATTACAAGCTGTATACTTCGATCTAATCACTTGTCACTTTCAGTCTTAGTTCACCTACAAAAATTGAATAAAAATTAAGGGCCTACCTAAGTGGGTTGCTGTGGTATTTAAATATTAAATAGTATCATTGCAATTGTTGTTATTGTAACTGCTAATATTGTCTCTTCTTTTTTTTTCTTTGTCTCTTTCATCCCTAGAGGGCAGTAATTATTATAATAGTACTGTTAAAGACGATGAAGACTTACAGACATGGAGACAAAGAAGAATTGAAGTGGATATGAGCAAAATAAATATCTTTTCCTCCTACTTATCCAGAATTCTCAAAAGGTAGTTTATATTCACTGCCTCTCCTTCTTTATTTCTATTTACTCCGCCATGCACTTACCTTTCTGCTACCAATTACTTTTTCTAAAATATTGCTTACATGAAGGATACAAATGTTCCAGCTGGCAAAATTTATTCTTCCCTTCTTTATTTTCATTGTGCCTTTCCTGCATTGATGCTATTGATACCTGCTACTTCTTAAAATATTCTGCACTGTTGTTTTCTGTATTCAGCTTTTCTAGTTCTGCTCATCTTTATTTCTTTTTGAATTTCTCATGACTATCTTTTCCATACACCTCAACCCTATCAACACTGACACTACCATTCCTGCCAGCAAATATCGTTATCCCTTTCACCTCCACCTGGACCTGCCACTTAGTGGTCTTCCACTTACCCACTTCCAGAGTTTTAACCAGCATTGTACCTTATTAGTTTCCAAATCTGTACGTTTAACTAATGAGTTTCAAACCAATTTATTCAATTGTCAGCTGGAAAGCTCTACCAAGATGTCCTCAGATACCTAAACATACATCCAAAATTAAATCTATTGTCACTCTTCCCTAAAACTGTCTTCTAATCTGTTATTTTCTGTCTTATTTGGTGGCAAAAATATATACCTGTCACTTGAATAGAAACCAGTCTTCTCTATTCCTTTTTCTTCCTACACTCTATCCACATCTAAACAGTGGTCTCCAAACTATTGTGAACTTGCACCCTAATAGTAAAAAATGTTAATCAGGCACTTCAAAATGAGTTCATTTAGTTATTATTTACATGCATTATCAATCAATGTATTAAATATAAGAAAACTCTATTTATTAAGATAAAAGAAGTTCTAATATTTATTTCCTATAACTACTATATAGTCATTCTACTCCATTTTGGAGATCCCTGAAATAATTATTAAATCCTGCTAATTCCACATCTAAATATTTGTTTAATTGATTTCCTTCTTTCATTTCCTGCCTTTTTCCTTTCCCCTGCTCTGGTTCAGAAACTTGTTGTTTCTTGACTGGGGGATTCCTGCTCCAAACGCCTCACTTCATGGTGGTTCCTGACTTTGCGTGTGTCTTTCCCAAATCCTCACATGTCTTATTTTATTTATTTTTATTCAAACTGTACAATGGAATCTTTACACTTCCCTTTTTAAAACCATTTGTTAACCTTTCATTGTCTGCTGGATAAAACCCAGGTCTGTTATAAAGCTCTGTGTGGTCTACATCCTTTTCTAGCTTGATGTGTTACTACTCCATTCTTTACATTTTAAATTTCAGCAAAATCAAACTGATGTATTTTCTTAAACTCAAACATTTTTCCCTCACTTCTTTGCCTTGTGTGTTTTCAGTGCCTCTTCTTGTGTTCTCACCCTGCCATTCACCACATTTCTTTTTCTGATTCATCTTTATTATTTTAGGCTCATGTTGGTTATTGCATCATTCAAAATACATTTCCCCTGGTCATTGGGGCTAGCCAGACCCACATAAATGTATAATATTCTGTGGGTAGCTCCACCATTCTGGAACTGATTCTAGCTAGAGAAAAATTCTCAACCACATTGATTACTCTCACCTTAAATATATGACCACAACTTTCAAGTAAGCTCATAAAAGCATAGTGGATGTCCCTAGCTATTTACTGTCTAAATATCTTGGATTATTATTTGACATCTTATTTTCTCTCTGCAAATTCCCAGCATCTCCAAGCCCATCCTCTATTTTACCTAGTGACCTTGCATCTTATTCACTAAAAATAAAAGCAGATGTAAGAGATATTACACATTATCCCACTACCCTATTTGCCAAAGTGCCCAGCCAGCACCTGTAACCACACCAAATACTATGCTTTCTCATCTATTATCATAAACTATCCATACTCTTATCTAAAGCTATTCCTCTGCTTGTGCACTAGATCACATGCCTGTCTTGCCTACTCAAGGATACAATTCCAACCATATTTTTTGTCTCTTTTATATCAGTCAATTTTTTTCCTACTAGATTATTGTAATTATCATAAATACATTCTATTGTTTCCCCTATCTCAAAAAACAAAGCAAAACAAAACTTATTAGGTCCTAGACAATATTAAGGACTTGTCATAAATTTTGTTTGCTGTGACAGTGGTATTGTGGTTATGCCAAAATGCTCTCATCAGTTGAAATTACATTCTAAAGTATTTTTAGGTGAAATAATATGAAACATAAGATACGCTTTAAGAGTGAGGTGGGATATAGATGAAATTAGATTAGCAAAATATTGATAATGATCAAAGCTTGGTGATGAGTACTATACTATTCTCTGTACTTACGTGTATATATAAAATTCTTGATAATAAAAAGTAAAACAAACAATAAGAAAACCTATTGACCCTACTTTCCCTACCAGCTACCATACTATTTCTTTGCTCACTTTTATTATTGAATTCCTTGAAAGAGTCATCTATAGTCCTTGTCTTTAATTGTGTTCCTTAATTCTCTTTTAACCTACCTCTTTTAGATGTTTGCCCCTCCACTCCTTTGAAGTTACACTTTTTAAAGCTTATTCATGTTACCATGTTACTGAACCCAGTGGACTATCCTTAGTTACTATTCCATCAGCAGAATTTGACATAATTCTTGACATACTTCCTTCACCACACTCTTCTGATTTTCTTCCTTTCCTTTTCCTCTCAGGTTCATCTTCTCAGTCTCCTTAACTTCAGAAACTCAAGGCTCAGTGATTGGTACTCTTTTCTTTTTAAATTTATTCCCTTAGTGATTTTATCCATTCATAAAGTTTTAAATGATATATAGCCATCAACTCTTAAATGTATATCTCCACCCTATACCTCTCTCCCAAACCCCAGAGGCATATATCTATATACTCTACACTTTCACTTCAATGTGTAGTACAAATTTTACCCCCAAATATCTCAGACCAAACCCCTGCGTTACTCCCAACTTCTGTAACAAGGTTTTCCATTAGTTATTTACAACTTCATAATTGTCATTGATCAGGTCCAAAATCATTCATTCTTGCCTCTGCTTTATATCTATATTCAATCCATCAAGAAATCTTGTTGGCTCAACATCTGAAATACATTCAGAATTGGAACCTTTCTCTCTATATCCTTTATCACCATCTTTAAGTCATCATTATCTTTTCCCTAGGATTACTCTAATAGTTTCCTAAGTGGTTTCTACCCTTGTCCCAACCTTCCATTCTCAACATGAAGACCAGAGTGATCCTTTTAAAATGAAAGTCGGATCATGATATATTCCTCTCAAGATCCTGCAATGGACAGAAGTTATTTGTTATCAATTTTGTAATTTTGCATTGTTTATATTGCTGTACAGTTGGAATTATATTTTATTATGTAACTTAAAATTATAAAATTATTAAATATAGAAATTTACAAAATAAAACAAAATTTTTTTTAACTTTTATTTTAGATTTGGGTGTACAGTGCAAGTTTGTTATATAGGTAAACTCGTGTCATGGGGGTTTGTTGTACAGATTATTTTATTACGCAGGTGCTAAACCAAGTACCCAATCGTTATTTTTTCTGCTCCTGTCCCTCCTCCCACCTTCCACCCTCAAGTAGGCCCCAGTGTCTGTTGTTCCTTTCTTTGTGTCCATGAGTTGTCATCATTTAGTTCCCACTTACAAGTGAGAACATGCGATATTTGGTTTTCTGTTCCTGCATTAGTTTGCTAAGGATAATAGCCTACAGCTCCATCCATGTTCCCACAAAAGACATGATCTCATTCTTTTTTGTGGCTGCAAAGTATTTTATGGTGTGTATGTACCACACTTTATCTAATCTGTCATTGATAGGCATTTAGGTTGATTTCAATGTCTCCCATTTGACAGGATAAAAACCCCAATCCTTACTGTATTAGTCCATTCTCAGGTTGCTATAAGGACATAGCTGAGACTGGGTAATTTATGTAAAAAAAAAAAAAATAGGTTTAACTGACTCACAGTTCCTGAGGCTGGTGAGGCCTCAGGAAACTTACAATCATTGAGGAAGTCACCTCTTCACAGGACAGCAGGAAAGGGAGAATGAGTGAAGGGGGAAACCCCTTATAAAACCATCAGATTTCATGAGAACTAAGTCACTACATGAGAACAGGATGGCGGAAACAGCTCCCATGATTCAAAATTATCTCCACCTGGTTCCTCCCATGACACGTGGAGATTATGGGAACTACAATTCAAGATGAGATTTGGGTGGGGCACAGCCAAACTATATCACTTACAACGGTCTATAAAGGTCCCACACAATTCACCTTCCTATGACCTTTCTAACCTTGTTTTCTACTATTCTTTGCCTTGCTCAGTCTGTTCCAGACCTACTCGCTATTCCTGGAACACATCACACATTCTCTCACCAAATTCATTGGCCAGTTCATGGGATTTTACCTCTGCCTCGAACATGCTTTCCCATGGTTTACATGGCTCACATTTCTTTGCTCCAATATCACTTTCTCAGTGCAATTTACCCTTACCACCTGATTTTACATTGCAACAAGACCTTTACCTCCTCCACCTTCATATTCCTATCTCCCTTACCCTGTACTAATTTTCCTTTTTTGATAGCACTTATTACTTAATATATTATAATTTCTTTATTTTTTTAAACTTATTATGCATGTGCCCTCAATACAATGTAAACTTCATTTAAAAATTTTGGTTTTTTTGCTGATGTATCTTAAGGACTAAAACAGTGCTTAGCACTTAGTATGACCTCCACAAATACATGTCAAATGAAATATTTGTTGAAATGCTACCTTTAACACATTATATTATAGTTAGTTCATTTATCTGTCTCCAACACTAAATTGCAAACTCCATGATACAGAGACTGTCCTAGTCATCTTTCATTTAAAAGCTATATTTATTAAGGTACAATTTAAAGACCCTAAAATATACCTTTTAGAGTAAACAATGAATTTTGACAGATTTA
This sequence comes from Homo sapiens, assembly GCF_000001405.40. Classification (NCBI taxonomy): domain Eukaryota; kingdom Metazoa; phylum Chordata; class Mammalia; order Primates; family Hominidae; genus Homo; species Homo sapiens. Next base: position 121,005,284 of record NC_000006.12, on the reverse strand, counting down.
TAGTTACCATAACCACCACCACAATCAAGATATAGCATATATCTATTATCTATTACCCCAAAAAGTTCACTCATGCTTTTTTGCAGTCAATCTCTTGTTTCTAGCCCCAGCTGCTGGCAAGCATTGATCCATTTTCTAAACTTGTTTTGCTTTTTGTAAAAATTTTAGAATGTCGTATAAGAAGAATTTTACAATATGCAGCTTTTCATGTCTGACTTCTTTACTGGCCATAATGATTTTGAGGTTTATCCATGTTGCATGTATCAATTATTTTTACTTGATGTTAATAAGGAATATTCTTTTGCGTTTATGCACCACAATGTGTTTATTCATTCACCAATTAATGGACATTTAACTATTTCCAGCTTTTTGATATTATAAACAAATTTGCTATAGTAGCATTATTGTGGATTTCCTGGGATTCTCTATGTAAACAATCATGTAGTCTGTGGAGAGAGAGAGTTATACTTCCTTCTTTCCAACCTGTATGGTGCGTATGTGTGTGTGTGTGTGTGTGTGTATGTGTGTGTGTGTATGTATATGTGTTCCCACATGCATGAATGTGCAAATTTACTCCAATTCAGTGTTCATTAGGAGTGGTGAGGGTGGATCAACTTGTCTTTTTTATGATCTTAGGGATAAAATATTCAGTCTTTCACCGTTGTATGTATTCTGTAGTATTTTACACATGTTCCTTTTAAGACTAAAGAATTCCCTTATGTTTCAAGTTGGGAATTTTTGTGTGAATGGATGTTGAATTTTGTTAAATTTTTTTCTGCATCAATCAAGATAGTCATATGTTACTTTTGCTTTCTTAGTATGTTAATATGATGAATTAAATTAATTGAAGTTTTAATGTTGAACCAACTTTGCTTTCCTAGGATAAGCTAACTGAATTGTGTTGTATTGTCCTTTTTGTATGTTGCTGGATTGGACTGCTAGTAATTTTAAAAACTGTGTTTAGATTTGAATATTTATATTTTTTTTACTTCTATATTTATAAAGTATATCTTTGTGTGTTTTTTTGCAGTGTTTTTCTGGTATTGGTGATAGGTTTATGCTGGCCTAATAAAATGAGTTGTCAAGTGTCAAGCCTTGTCGACTTTCTTAAAGAGGTGATCTAAAATTTATATTAATTCTTTCCTAAATTTTTGGTTGATTTCATTCTGTGAAGCCATTTTGGTCTAGAGTTTTCTTTGGAGGAGTCTTTAATTTCTTTAGTAGATGTAGAGCTATTATGATTATTATCTGTTCTTTCCAAGAGTTTGCCCATTTCATCTAGCTTTTAACATACTAATCATATTCATTAAATTAAATTAATTTATTTATTTGAGGCAGGGTCTTGCTCTGTCACCCAGACCAGAGTGCAGTGGCACGATCATAGCTTACTGTAACCTCGAACTCCTGGGTTCAAGCAATCCTCCTGCCTCTGCCTCCCAAGTAGCTAGGACTATAGGCATACACCACTACATCTGGCTAAAGTTTAAATGTTTTGAAGAGATGGGGTCTTGCTATGTTGCCCAGTGCTGCTCTGGAACTCTTAGCCTCAAGTGATCCTCTTGCATTGGCCTCCTAAAGCTTTGGGATTATAGGTGTGAGCCACTGTGCCCAGCCCATATTCATTTTAAAGTCTCTATCTGGTTGTACCATTATCTGGACCATCTCTGGGTCTAGTTCTGTTGACTGCTTAATTTCTTGACAATGGATCTATTTTTCTTGCTGATATTTTATGTCTCATAATTTTTTAAGTTTTAAAATTTTTATGGATACATGGTAGTTGCACATAATTATGGGGTACATGTGATATTTTGATATAAGCATACAATGTATAATGATCAAATTGTAATTAAAATATCCATCACCTTAAACATTTATCATTTCTTTGTGTTATTAACATTCCAATTCTATTCTTCTAGCTATTTTGAAATACACAATAAATCATTGTTAACTATAGTCACTCTATTGTGCTACCAAACACTAGATCATATTCCTTATATCTAACTGTATTTTTGTACCTATTAACCAAGCCATCTTTGTTCATCCCTCCCCACTACCCTTTGCAGCCTCTGATAACCATCATTCTACTCTCTATCTCTATGAGATCAAACTTTTCAGCTTCCAGAGATAAATGAGAACATGTGATATTTCTGTTTCTGTGCCTGGCTTATTTCATTTAACATAATGTCCTTCAGTTTCATCTAAGTTTTTGCAAATAACAGAATTTTATTCTTTTCTATAGCAGAATAATATTGTCTTGTGAATATGCACAATATTTTGTTTATTCATCCGTTGATGGACATGTAGGTTAATTCCATATATTGGCTATTGTGAATAGTGCTGCAATAAACATGGGATTGCAGAAATCTCTTCCATATAATGATTTCTTTTCTTTTGGATGTATACCCACCAAGGGGATTGCTGGATCATATGGGATCATATGATGGTTCTATTTTTAGTTTTCTGAGAAACTGCCATACTGTTCTCCATAGTGACTGTACTCATTTGTATTCCCACCAACAATGTAAGCATTTCCTTTTCTCCACATCCTCACCCGTATCTATTATTGACTATCTTTTTGATAAAAGTATTTTCACTGGGGTGATATGGTATCTCATTGTAGTTTTGCCTTTCTCTGATAAGCAGTGATACTGAGCATTTTTTTGATATGGCTCTTGGCCATTTGTATGTCTTCTTTTGAGAAATACGTATTCATATTTTTGGCTCATTCTTAAATTGGATTATTATTATTTTTTTTTTTACTATTGAGTTATTTGAGTTCCTTGTATATTCTGGTTATTAATCTCTTGTCATATAGGTAGTTTGCAAATATTTTCTCCCATTTGTAGGTGGTATCTTCACTTTGTTGATGGTTTCCTTTGCTGTGGATAATCTTTTTAGCTTGCTGTGATCCCATTTGTCCATGTTTGCTTTCATTGCCTATGCTTTTGAGTTCTTACACAAGAAATCTTTGCTCAGACCAATGTCCTAGATTGTTTCCCCAATATTTTCTTCTAGTGTTTTCAGTTTCAGGTCTTACATTTAACTATTTAATCCACTTTAATTTGATTTTTATATATGGCAAGAGATAGAGGTCTAATTTTATTCTTTGGCATATGGATATCTGGTTTTTCTAGCACCACTTATTGAGAAGACTGTTCTTTCTACAATGTATGTTCTTGGTCCCTTTATCAAAAGTGTGTTGACTGTAAATGCATGGATTTATTTCTGGCTTCTTTGTTCTGTTCTCTTGGTCTATTTGTTTGTTTTTATGCCAGTACCATACTGTTTTTGTTATTATATCTTTGTAGTTCATTTCAAAGTCAGGTAGTGCAATGCCTCCAGCTTTGTTCTGTTTGCTCAGGATTGGTTTAGCTATTATTTTATGTGTGTGTGTTGCCATATAAATTTTAATATTACTATTTTTATTTTTGTGAAGAATGTCATTAGTATTCTGATAGGGATTGCAATGAATCTGTAGATTGCTTTGCATAGTATTGACATTTTTAACAATATTGATTCTTCCAATCCGTAAACAGAGACTATGTTTCCATTTTTTTGTGTCCTCTTCAATTTCTCTTATTAATGTTTTACAGATTTCATTGTAGAGATATTTTACTTTTTTGGCTAAGTTTACTTCTTATATTTTATTTTATTTGAAGCTATTGTAAATGGTTTTACCCTTTTGGTTTCTTTTTCAGATTGTTTGCTGTTAGCATATAGAAATGCTACTGACATTTTATGTTAATTTCATATTCTGTAACTTTACTGAATTTGTTTATCAGCTCTAAAACTTTTTTGATGGAGTCTAGGTTTTCCCAAGTATAAGATCGTGTCATCTGCAAGGAAAGCTAATATGATTTTTTTTTTTTTTTTTTTTTTTACAAATTGAATGCCTTTTATTTCTTTCTCTTGTCTAATTGGCTAGGACTTCTAACACTATGTGGAATAAAAGTAGTGAAAGTGGGCATCTTTGTCTTAATCCAGATCTTACAGAAAAGGTTTTCAGTTTTTACCTTTTCAGTATGATGTTAGCTGTGAGTTTGTCATGTTTGTGTCTCATATTTTTTTACTGCTGACATTGTATATAGGTCAGTAGAAACTGAAGGAAATAGTATTTATGCCTTGCAATTGCCACACCTCTTTTCCTATCAGGTCATTAGCATGGGGAGTTAAATTAATCCCAGTAGTTTCACTGGGTTTGAATTTTGTTGTTGCTAGTTATTTTATTGTGACATAGACTTCAAATTCCTACAGTAGAAAACATGTTATTTTGTTCTTAGTGGAAGTTCTAGATTTCCAGAGTGAAATGGGAGGGAGTGGTAGTCCTGAGTCTTCCTCATCCATCCTCAGATCCATCCTTCTTTTTAGCAGGCCTTCTGTGCCTGCAGGTCAGATGTGTCTCTCGCAGTGGTGCTCTTTCACCTCCCTTGTGGTAATGTGCCATTGTTTTTTACTTGCTTCAAGACTGTTTGTGGTGATATTAGAGGATACCTTTGTTTTTCTTATCCGGCATCAGTCTTAGGTAGCTTTTTGTTCTTGAGCCTGAGCAGTGGGCTTTCTTAACATTCCTGACCTTTCTTCCTATGTCAGCCAAACTCTGCTTTCTGTCTTTGGGGGATCTTGGGTACAGCCAAATTTCCTGTTTCTCTTTTATTGCAGCAGCCCTCTGCTTTGTATTAATTTAAGATCCTGAACATGAATGCACTTCCTGTCCTTCCCCTAGTGACAGATGTTTTTATTTTTGCTTCATTTCGGTGCAGCGTGGGAAGGGTGGATTTCTGTCACACCCCAGCAATTAAAGACTTTTTTTTTTCCAGGGGGTTCGTTTTTAGGAGCGCTTTCTAGTCTTTTTTCCAACATCATGGGACACTAATTTCCAACACTGCCCCAGTGCTTATCATCATTCACCTGGTAAGGGGGAGGTGAGTGTGAGGGTTTTACTTTCTAAGATATATGAGTCTAGGACACTGCTGGGTTTGTGCCAATTCTCCATACTACTGTGCCACTTCTATGATGGTACCCCTGAGAGAGACTCTCTCATGTCTTCTGCCTCTCAGTCTTTCTTGTGAGCAGCTGGTAGAAGGAGGTGTAAAATTGCTGGTGAGTTTGTGCAGACTCCCTTTGTGTCTGGAGCTCTCAGGGATTCTAAATTATCGTGTTAGCCCACAGTTAGCCTTTAAGATACATTAAAAGATTCGTTGTTTCCTTTTTACTCACTTCTATTGCTGCTACCTCTTCTTCCCATGTTCTGCCAGGGGCACAACAGTTAATAGTTCCCAATTCTTGGAAAAGCATTTTAGAATTCTATATATTTGGTTGTTTTGAAAACTTGGCTCTCATAGGTTCCAAAAAAATTATGACTTTATAGATTTTCTGAATTTTCCTTGTACTTAGGATGAAAGTGATACTCTCTTGCATCTATGTACATTGTAAGTGGAAGGAGAACTATCTTTTCAATCTTCGTATCCTGATTTGGAACTCTCAGCTTTAGAGAACTTCTAAGAATCTCTGAGGATTTTAAACAATTTTGCTTAATCGGTAGTTTCCTCCAGAAACACCATGGAATCCTGGTCTTTGTGAGAATTTTGGTTTAGAAAGACTTAAATGGTTCCAATTCCCATGATCTCAAATCACAGTCTAATCATACAATATAAAACCTTTCTGGCAGCCATTAGACTCTCTTTCAGGGCTTCACAGTTACCCACCAAGCTCGTTTCCCTCTCAGGGCCTTCACATGTGGCTCCTCCACTTGGATAACTCCTACTTCATCAGCTCATATCTTAAACTCCACTTCTTCAAAAATGCCTTAAAAATCCCTTGTCTAAGTAAGGCATCTACCTCCTCAATTATATTCTCACACAGTACCTCAGTGATTTCCTTCTTAGCACTTACCATAGTTTATAATTTGTAGATATATTTGATTATTCATTTAATTAGTCTCTTCACTGTTAGTTCCATTGGATCAGAGCCTCTGTGCAGTTTACTGTTATTCACTGTCTTGTTCACACAGCTTAACTTGTACTTTGCCTAGTGCATAGTAGTTACTCAAAATTGGTTGAATGATAAAATCCTTCTGGAGACTCGGGAGAAACATGGTAGCTAGAGGAAAATAAATTCAAGGAGGCTTCCAAGAAAAGGCTAGTTTTGGCATAAGAAAAATGGAAAGCCACTTCTCAGAAACAGAATCCAAAACAAGGGCCAAACTAGGCCCTGTTTAAGTTTGTTCTTTAAACAAGCATACCAGTCTCTGCAAGTGAACGAGTAGGCAAGTTGAATATTTGCTTTGAATTTATTGTCCCATGTGAACTTGGTAAAAGAAATGCCCACATAAACTTGAGAGGAAATGATTATGCATGAAAGCTTTGTGTACACACCCGACCAAAAGAACTCAATAGTCTTAGAGAGAAACATACAGAATTTAGCATTAGGATAGGTTTTTATATATTAGGCAGCTGGCTTTTGCCATCCAGAGTGTTTCATAGAAATCATCCCAGCCCAAATTAATGAAGAAAGGACAGATTGTTTAGTAAATAGTTTGCAAAAACTGGATCACTCCGTGGAGCAAAATGAAACTAAATTTCTGCCTAACACTACAAAGTTGGATTTCAGGTAGAATAATCCTGCAAAGTTAACCGTCTATGATATAGGAGACTATTTTTGTCACCTAAGGTTGAGGAACGACTTCATAAAGAAAATCTGAAAAGCACAAATCATGAGCTGAAAGAATGGATTTATTTGATTGTGTTAAAATTAAAGATTTCTTTTAAATTACGGGTGTCATGAACAAAATAAACAGATATAAGAATGGGAAAGGGGCCGGGCGCGGTGGCTCACGCCTGTAATCCCAGCACTTTGGGAGGCCGAGGCGGGCGGATCACGAGGTCAGGAGATCGAGACCATCCTGGCTAACACGGTGAAACCCCGTCTCTACTAAAAATACAAAACATTAGCCGGGCGTGGTAGCGGGCGCCTGTGTAGCTACTCGGGAGGCTGAGGCAGGAGAATGGCGTGAACCCGGGAGGCGGAGCTTGCAGTGAGCCGAGATCGCGCCACTGCACTCCAGCCTGGGCGACAGAGCGAGACTCCGTCTCAAAAAAAAAAAAAAAAAAAAAAAAAAAAAAGAAAAGAATGGGAAAGGTATTTATAATGTCTATATCTGACAGGAGATATATGTCTACAACACACAGGGAACTTTACAAATAAATAAGAAAAATATAGGAAAAAACAATAAAATATAGGAAAAGTAGGAGCAGACTATTTGCAGAAAAATTACTCAGTTATCAGGCATGTAAGGGGATGTTCAATATCAAGTCTAGTAGGGATAATGGAGAAATGGAATATAGTGGACATACAATATGGGATATGATGTGGCAGTTAGAAGTCATAGCCCAGCTTTGTGTAGTAACATGGAGAGATCTTATGAAATAAGGATATATGAAACATATAGTAATGTTAACAATAATAGAAAACACTTACTAGTATTTACTATGTGCCAGTTACTGTTCAGAGCTCATAACAACCGTGTGATGGATTATTACATCCATGTTTTATATAGATGAAGAAGCTGAGGTATATAAGGTGACATTGTAAGTGGACATTCTAGATCTGAACTTGGGCATCTGGTTGCAAAATGTTTGCTCTATATGCCTAAGAACTACAATAGGAGCTATAGAACAATACTGTCAATGAAATAAAAAGTTTATGCACTTCAAACTATGATACATGTTTTTGTAGGATATATTAATATGAAAAGAATATCAAAGCTTATTAGAATGGAAATAAAATGAAATTAAATAAATACATCAAGACGGGGTTCTTGCACAATCCTGTGATGAGTGTGCCAAAATGGAGGCAGAGGATTAATTTAACTCCTTGGACAAATGAGAATATGTAAATTTAACTTATACATATTTTGTACTTAAATGCAGTTTTTTTGTGTGTTTTGTTATTTGTTTTTTTTTTCTTTTTTTTGAGATGGAGTCTCACTCTGTCGCCAGGCTGGAGTGCAGTGACACGATCTGGGCTCACTGCAACCTCTACCTCCTGGGTTCAAGCGATTCTCCTCCCTCAGCCTCCCAAGTACTGGGACTACAGGTTCCTGCTACCACACCCAGCTAATTTTTGTATTTTCAGTAGAGACAGGGTTTCACCATGTTGGCCAGGATAGTTTCGATCTCTTGACCTCGTGATATGGCCACCTCGACCTCCCAAAGTGCTGGGATTACAGGCGTGAGCCATCGCACCCAACATTAAATGAAGTTTTTTAAAGCATTGATATAAGGAAAGGCCAAGAAGCAGCTCCAAGAAGAGCCCTGAAGCAGTAGCGGGTATGAGGTGCAGATGCTGATGAATAAAAATAACATGAGGTACAAACAGAAAAATCAGAAAGTCGAAGAAGAGTCAGCAAGATGGTAACAGAGGAATATTCTTTTAGCCACTTTTGTGAGAATGAATTGGACTTTTTGTTGATCTTGTTTAATATACAACGCTGGGCCAGCATGGTGGCTCAGACCTATAATCCCAGCACTTTGCAGGCTGAAGTGGGTGGATCATTTGAGGCCAGGAGTTCAAGACCAGCCTGAGCATCATGGCAGAACCCCCTCTCTACCAAAAACACAAAAAACTACCTGGGCAGGGGTTGCGGTTTTGGCGCACTCCTGTAGTTCCCACTACTCAGGAGGCTGAGGTGAAAAGATCTCCTGAGCCCAGGAGGCAGAGGCTACAGTGAGCCAAGATCATGCCTCTGTACTCCAGCCAAGGTGACAAAGTTCAGACGCCTCCCATAACCTTTTTCTTGTGGCCTTTCATTAGCTTTACAAAGGTGGTTTTCAGTTCCTGAGCAAAGAAGGGGTTAATTTTTTTAGTTTTTTTTTTTTTCGTTTGTTTGTTTTGTTTTGTTTTTGGCGGGGGGAGGTTTTGAGATGGTGCCTCACTGTGTTGCCCAGGCTGGGCTGCAGTGGTGTGATCTCAGTGCACCACAACCTCCGCCTCCCAGGCCCAGGTGATCCTCCCACCTCAGTCTCCTGTGTAGCCGGGACCACAGGTGTGCACCATTATGTCCGGCTAATTTTTTTGTATTTTTGGTAGAGACAGGGTTTCGCATAACACTGAAGAGTTCACAGTTAAGGACTTGAACAGTTTTTTTTAAACTTAGTCAGAATTCAGCTTTCTGTCATTTGGCTAATATGGAGCTCCAAGAGCAGGATTTCTTATCTTTTCTATACTTAACTTTAGCCTTTTTACATAAGTTTTGTCTTCATTCAGCAGCCATAAATTCAATTTAAACAATGAATTGCTCTTGCTTGAATTCTTCTGAGATGCCTGATAAAAACATAGGTTTTGGTATTATCCCCCCAAATCACTATAATCATAGTGATTCATAATCAAGGAAAAACATAAAACAAGACTCACAGAACAAAATAAAACAAATTATTGGGTATTTCCTATACTATACTTTTATAAACACAAATACATAGCAACTAGAGACTAGGCAGTGGGAGCAATTGGTGTCAGAGTTGGGGCAGTAAACTGCAAGGCAAATGACAGCACCAAAAAGAGAACATGACCTGTTTCTTGTTTGGAGGTGGCTATGGTGCTTGTGACTTTTAGAAGCAGAGGTAGGTTATTAGATTAAATTGGCAGAGTAGCAAGAAAATCAACTTATAAGGAAAACAACTGTCCTCAGCTTTTTCCTAACTAGTCAGCTGAATCACCTTTTGCTTTCTTCTGGAAGAACTAAGGGTCTGTTGGAAACAGCTTTGTCCCACCTTAAGGTAAGTTAAAATGTTTGATCTGGCAAAATTAATTAAAAAAAAAAAAACTAACAGGTGATAAAAAGATAAGGGAATCTTAATTTTTCTTCCATTTTTTCAACTCTCCCCCTGTTATTTCTAATGTGGGTACTGGCTGATGAAGGGTGGACGGGTCGAGGAGGATATGTGATCTATAAATCTACAGTATAAATTGGTATAGGAAACTCACACACACTGCATTTTCGGTGTAATCATGGCATTGCTGTAAATATATATATCTAAAATATATAACCTATGATCTTCTGCTTTTGTACCTTAGCTCACATTTTTCTCCTCCTATAGGTTTTCCTATCTCTACCATTCAAAAAATTTATTATTTTCTTTGAAGCTGCCTCCAGATCCCACCACCTCAATTACACCTTTCCGAATGTACTCAATGAGAATTAAATCCTACCATCTCTGAGTTTGCATAGAACTGTGTTTTAATTCTGTTCTGTCAGCTCTCAGTTCTGCCTAGGACTATAGTAATTTGTGTATACATATTTTGCTCTCTTGTCTTGTTCATCTTTGCTTCCCTCATAGTGAATGTTTCTACATGGTATGTTCTCAATAAGTGAATATTGAATGAATTAGAGCGTTTCAAACATAGTAAATGCAGATTTTTAGTGAGCTGCATCTGATAGTCCTGTATGAGATGAATTGGGGGCTGGGAGATCACGGAGTTAGAAAAGTTGTTTACAAATGCATTGTGATATTCAGGCATGAGGCAATGAGGGTCCAGAAGGACAGTGATTGTGTACCGGAGAGGAAATGGTGATTCATAGGGAAATACTGGAGGGAAAAAGAACAGATTTTATGAATAATGATGATGAGGATGATGATGGTGATGATGGCAATGAGGATGCTTATATTTGTATAGTGGTTTACAGTTTATGTCGGTGATTCCAGAGTTATGTATGCAGATCTAACTCCTGGGATTCAAGTGAAGTGATGCAATAAATAATCATGTGTTGAAGTGGTAAAATGCATGGCATTTTTGTATTTTTCTAGGAAAGGCTTGTTAGCCTCAAAGCTGAAAGGATATATAGCATAGAACATGGTGACAACTTACAATTTAGGTTAATCATGTCAATTTAAGAGTTGCTGCACTTCTGCTGCTCATCAGGGGGTAGTCAGAAGATTTATCTGAGGAACAGTCTGAAAAATCCATTACAACAATTCCCTAATAATGAATTCCAAACACCAGTGTTATTTGTAGCAAATATTTATTTAACTCCCATGGATTCTGTGGGCACTGTATTATTCCTCTAGAGAATGGAGACGGAGTAATAGTTCCTTATGCCTGGGGAGACATTGGTGTCCAGCTTGCTATATTCTGGTGCAAAGGCTAAAGTGAATGTGTTTGTCTTCCGAGGGCAAAGGGCATAAAACACTTTTAACAGAATGCTGCCAGGTCACTTACATTTGTACCATGGGAATCTGGAGTATAAAGGAAGCTGACTGCAGAAACCTCAAGGACCAGGGTGCTCTATTATTGTAGGCTCATCTATCTTGGCATATGTTGATGAGTGTGCCTCCATCCTTTTAATCAAAATGATTGAAATACAAAGTACCACATGCTTACCTGGTATCTGCTTAAGAGTTTCCCAACAGCAGCTAAAAAAAAATGAAGAGATTTCATGTGTGTACACGTTTAGCTGAACTGTTAAATTTTTTTGTTTTTGGTTTCTCCGTTAATTTTCACTTGTGGAAAGGGCTTGAACTTTGTCTTGTTGTGGGACAGGGAAGAATTATATTATTTTGAGATATAAATTGATGATACCCCGTGGGTCCCACTTTCCTTTTTATGGCCAGCAGGCATGAGGGAGTAAAAGTTAGACTATCAGGTCTAGAGCTGGCTCCTGGGAGAGGAGTAAAGCTTTCAACTCCTATTTTACAGTGAAAATGGAAGATGACCATTTGGTCTGGGCTTGAAAGGAGATCACAAGGTTCCAATGAATATGGGAAGGAGGCAGCGTGGAAGAACTCTTTAGATAACAATAGTTCTCTTAGGAGGTCAGGGATCAGTACCCTGGCTCAAGTGAGGATGACTGAGTAGAAGCAAGACCCAAGCAACTGTAAACCCGACATGAATAAGACAAAGGGGGTCTCATTGATCAAATTGAATCAGGAAGGGAAGGAGACTAAGGCTCTCTTTATGCCGCATCAACTCCAGTTACTGCAACTTGGTATGAATGGGACTGCTAACTGTATAGAGGGAGCATTTAGTGGTAAAGTTGGGAAAGAATTGGAATTTAACAGGGGGATAAATTAGTTGAAAGAAAAAAGTTTGATTATAGTGGGATTGGCAGGAAATTGATAATATGATTGGTAGGGGGCTATCTTTTGAGGTAACATTTTAGAATGTCTAAGTGGGAAGTAGCCCCTTTTATGTATTTCTTTTAATGACATAGCATAGGAACAACTGAAATGGTCACTTTGGCACAAAATAGTTCTTTATTAAAAAGAATACCCAGTGTATTCACTCATTACCCAATGGGTGTGACTTTTAAGAAAAAAGACAGGTGAGGGAGGAACATATTTTCCCCAGGCTTGACATATTTTCCCCAGGCTCACATTCATGAAACTAGAGGGGAAGCAAAAGTTTAAAGACTATGTTGACTGATTTGTGTGGCATGTTAGCAAAGGACCCAAGGCAAATTGAAAGGGGATTCAGAGATCTTTGATATCTACAATGATTCTGGGACTTTTAAAATATATGTCCTAAAACCCCTTATTGGCTTACTGTAGTTTGCCAACCAATATGGTATGTGAGTCCAATCTCGTCCACGTATCTATTTCAGTTGTTTGTTTCTGATAACCATGACCCAAGGGGCTACCACAAATGAAATTTTATACTTGGAAAAATAAATAATAGAAAATATTGAGCCAAGAGAATGGAAATAATACATACCAGGGACAGTGAAATTGAGTCTTTCTTTAGAAAGGGAACAGAAATTAAAGAACCATCTAAAAATAAAACACAATGAAATCTATTTCCAAGACTGCAGCTGAACTTTGTACTGACTTTTCCAATAACAGCTGCATTACAGAATTGTGTAAACCCCACATTTACTAATCAGGAAACTCCAAAGATTAGTATCAAATGAATCTGCAATTGTTTCAATAAATGGTCATATTAACAATTTGCTTAAATCAAGGAGGATGAAATCACATGATTTGCTGAAGTATTTTTATCTAGAAATCATTTTATTAGAATGTTATTATTTATTAGAATATCTATTATACATTAAAGAGGCAAGAACTTTTAAAGTAAATAAATTAAAAACTTATGTTGGAAAGAATAGATCGGGAAACTAACGTTTATTGCATGCTACTTTATACTAGCCATTATGTTAATATACTTATATACATTATCTTCTTTCAATTTCACATAAACCCTAAGAGATATAGTTCTTAACCGTTCTGGAGATAAGGAAGCTGAGGTACAGACAGGTTGAGAACTTGCTCAAATGAAAGGTCTTTTTTTTTTTGTCTTGAGAATAACAATAGCAGAATGACAACCAAAAAAGAATGATGGGAATTTAAGCATCACCACTTTACAACCATAATGGTAAAAATGAATTCAGGTTTCCAACAAAAAGAATAATTAATAGATTCTGAGAGTGGGGAAATTTAATGAGGAACATGTATTTAATAGTCCCAAAATACAGTCATGCACGCTTAACAATGTTTTGGACCATTGGACCAACAATGGACCCACCACACAAGCAGCAGTGATTTCATAAAATTATGATACTGTATTTTTACTGTATTTTTTTGTGCTTAGATGTTTAGATACATAAATACCATTGTGTTATAGTCACCTGCAGTATTCAGTATGGTAACGTGCTATACAGGTTTCTAGTTTAGGAGCAATAGCCTATACTATGTAGCCTAGGTGTGTATAGGCTATAGAGGCTAGGTTTGTGTAAGTACACTCTGTGATATTCACACAATGACACAATTGCCAAACAATATATTACTCAGAACATATTCCTGTTATTAAGGTAAGCATGACTGTATCTTTCCACAAATTATTTACTAATAAAAAAATTTAAAAAAACATTTAATGCTGTGCAGAAAACAGTCAACAACTGATCAAAATTAACATCCTCAATAAGAAGCAGTGAATATCATGTGCCTCTGAATGACGTGTGTACATAGCATCACTGTACTATTTCAGCTAAAATGCATAATCTAAATCAAATCAAAAAGAAAAATCAGAAAGCACACACTGAGGGATATTCTGTAATGCAGCTGGCCATATTTTTCAAGATTATTAATGTCATGAAAGACAAAGAATAAACACAAAAAGAAGAGAAGTTGCCAAACTTAAGGTAGTGAATGTAACCTCGATACTGGGGTCACAACATATCAAAGTTTACTGACCAGGAGTCCCTGGCCAAGGGTGCGAGCAGCGGTAGGTGTTGAATATAGTCTGTTATATCCTGCTTATCAGCTGTGAGCCCTGCCCGGTCTACTCCAGACACTGGGAATTTATATAAAGATGCCGCAAGTGCTACTTTTTTGTTACCCAAACCTGAGAAAGCATGAAAAGCCAACCAATTTCTCTCATGATTATAGATGTAAAAGCACAAATAAAATAATACAATTGAAAACTCACCACATGCTAAAAGAACACCATGTTATGATCAAGAAGCTTTTGTTTCAGGCATAGGCAAATGGTCAATATTAGAAACTCGCAGCTCAGTTTATCACTAAATCAAAGAAAAATTAAATGTAATTATTTTAACAGTTCCAAATAGATGTGATAAAATTTGACATCAAGTCCTGATATAAAGCTTCTTAAACTGGAAAGATGTTTTCTTAACATGATAAAGCCAAATCACACTCAAAGATGAAAATATGCATGAAGCATTCCCATCAAAATCAGAACCTCAACTCTCTCATTTGACTGTGGATACAATACTACATTTCAGTGCTGCCACGAGGAGGAAAAAAATGCTGAAAAGAGCTAATAAGCATATATGAATTAATATTGAAGTAATGAAATTAAGTATATTAGTCATTATACTAAATATGATTATAAATAATTCTCCTGTTAAAGATATGTGCACATGCACACACACAAACTTGAATTATTGGTAAAATATTGGTAATATGAAAAGATTTTTAAGCTTGTCTAATCAAACTGCATTTGATCAGAAGATTCACAGTGCATACCATAGTGTAAAGGGTTAATAAATATTATACTGTGTATTCCCTTCTGGTTAAAAGCATATAATTATATAGATCTTCTAAATAAGTATTAAATTATGGGATACTTTATCATTATTATTATTGTTATTAAGATTCTTGTTCAGGTGTGGTGGCATGCAACTGTGCTCCCAGCTACTTGGGAGGCTGAAGTGGGAGGATCACTTGAGGCCAGAGTATGAGGTTGTAGTATGCTATGATCATGCCTGTGAATAGCCACTGTGTTTCGGCCTGGGCAATATAACAAGACCCCATGTCTAATTAATTAAAATAAAATAAAAATCTTTGTTTTTTAAATTATTGGTTATCTAAACAGAAATATAAGCTCAATACACCACAGAAATACTAACATATCATATAAACAAGTTCTGAATGACATAGCCTGTAATGCTCATGTAGAGATTAATTTTTATTGGACTAGAAAATAAGTTCTAAAACATATATTCCTATGGGTATTGGTAGAATAGTAAGACATTTTATAAAATGAATAATTTATATCATCTCTTGCCCAATAAAATGCTTGGGGAAATCTTAAGTCAAACTGTTCTGAGAAAAAAATTTTTTAAATAATCAGAAAACCCTTGTTTGGTATGAAGAAAGAACAGAAAGAGAAAAGGAGCTGTCAAATTGAGTGGATTTTACCACCAAAATCTTCAAAAAGCAAAACACGTACTTATGAAATACAAAAATTTAATTATTTAAAAAATATTCTGTAACATCAGCTCATTTATGTGACTGATTAATTTCTGATGCAGAATATGTCTACACAGCCTCCTGACTCTTCCCTTTCATAGGACTTTTCCTTTTCTTTATAGCATTACCACAATTCTAGATTGTTTCTGTGAGTTTGCTTTTTCAACGTCTGCTTCTCCGAATAGACCCTAAATTAAAAAGAACATGCTTAGTTTGTCCATTATTGCTACCTAGAAGTTAGCAGAGTGCTTACCACAAAGTAGTGCTCCATCTATATTTGCTAGTGAATAAACAAATAAATACATGAACTAGTCAAGTCAGTAAATCAAATTAATTGTAAATGCAGTGTATCTAATCAATAAATTTGACTATTCCCCAGATAGCCTTCTTCTCTTCCTCTTCCTTAATCTCTGGCAGTTTAATGGATAAAAATGAAGGAATTGAACAAAATTACTGGTACATAGCTGGAATTATTTTTTTAAGGCAGCATAGATGAATGAAATGCCTACCTGGTGTGTTTAGATGGAGTACTAGTATAGTATCATGACCATAGTTGTCAATTGGGTCCACTGCTTTTGCAGCTATTTTTTAAAAGACCTGAAAAACTGATTAAAACTAAAGGCAATGAAGTGTCTAAACCCATGCTGTGGAAGGAGAACTATATATAGTTCATACTGAATATGGTTCTCATGTTTTCTTCCAAGCCCTTCCTATTAGAATCATGGGCCAGTGGTTTAGGGGGACGTTTCCTTCTTCAATTCTCAGAAAATGCCCCTTTTTCTTTCATGATTTTACTTAAGTATTCTCCAGTGATATGCTTCTGAGTTCTGCATTATCTATTGCCTAACTGCACCAAGGCTTTTGTAAAAATTACAGCAAATTCTCTGTCTTCTTTTGTAAATGCTCAAATTACACACATTAAATCCTTAGAACATAGTTTTTATTGAGTATATTTATATAATTCTAGATACCACCAGTTGCAACTACAAAAAAAATATAGGGAAGTTGCCAATATTCTTTGAAAAAGATCCCTACAACTGATTACTCATTTACTCCAGGAATGGCTTTTCGGAACTTTGCTGTGACCTTTTGGCCTATCTTCAGTAGTTCTCTGTTGCAAAGAGCTGCAGTGGTGGAATGGGAAGATATTTTTCCCCCTTGCAATGGGTTATTTTATGTGTCAACTTGAGTGAGTTATGGGGTGCTCAGGATAAACATTGTTTCTGTGTGTGTCTGTAAGGGTGTTTCTGGATGACATTGGCATTTGAATTGGTGGATTTAATATGGTAGCCTGCCCTCCCCAATGTAGGTCGGCATCATCCAATCTGTGGAGGGCCTGAATAGAATAAAAGGTGGAGTAAACAGAAATTCACCTTTTTCCTTCCTCACTGTTTGAGCTGGGATAGCTCATCTCATCTCTTCCTGCTTTCAGAATGAGATTTACGTAATCACTGGCTCACCTTGTTCTCAGGCCTTCTGATTGGGACTGAATCACACCACTGGCTTTCTTGGGTCTCCAGGTGGCATGCAGCAGATGGTGGACTTTCCACCTTCCATAATTTCATGAGCTAATTCCTAATAATCAATATGTCTCTCTCCATAAATATATGTGTGTATATATATATATGTATATATATCAGATAGATAGATAGATAGATAGATAGATAGATAGATAGATAGATAGAGCCACATCCTATTCATTCTGTTTCTCTGGAGGACCCTGACTTATATCTAAACTTATGCTCCTTGACATTTTGGGTAGAAGAGAACATCTTCAGAACTGACTGTTATTTAAAAATTACTCTGTTTTAAAATGCACCCGAAATTTTCTTTTCTTTCAGATATGGTGAGGCCAACAGATCAGGAGAAAATTTCCATTGAAAAGGTAGTTTGTTACTTATAGCTTCCAAGAGTAGGGGCACAACAAGCCATTCAGGGCCACATGGAGAAGCACCAAAGTTGATCAGGAGACAGATGGAGCAGGGGGAATGCATGGATCAGAACCTTTATTGTGATTGTTGTGGGATGCAGTGAGAGAGGCAGGGTAAGCAGCTGTACAGGTTTAGGATTGGATAGTTTGAATAATTTTGGTAGACTCTGGGCTATATGAGTGGCCCCTGGTTGTATAGTACCTGACCCCAGGGTGATTATGGAACAGGGAACATTGGCTTGGTGTGTGAGAATTAGATAAAATAGATGATTGAGGTATGGGGTCTGGATTAGTTGGTTTGCAAATCAAAGGCATGCTCCTGGGTAAGTCATCTGGTATTTCTAAGAATTGGCTAGCCCTGAGAGGGGCAGTCTCTCCCCAGTCTTCAAGGCCCGGATGCCAGAGCATTGAGAATACAGAAAAGAAGAAAACATTGTTAATGAATATCTCTTCACTACACCAGAGTAACTGGGAGCTATTCCTGTGTTGGATGGAATATTTGATTACATTATCCCCCTTCTTGTCACACACCCTGATATGGTTTGGCTGTGTCCCCACCCAAATCTCATCTTGAATTGTGGCTCCCATAATTCCCATGTGTTGTAGGAGGGACCTGGTGGAAGGTAATTGAATCATGGAGGTAGGTTCTTTCCCATGCTGTTTTCGTGATAGTGAATAAGTCTCACAAGATCTGATGGTTTTACAAAGGGGAGTTCCCCTATACAAGTTATCTTGCCTGATGCCATGTAAGATGTGACTTTGCTCCTCATTTGCCTTCCACCATGGTTGTGAGGCCTCCCCAGCCATGTGGAACTGTGAGTCCATTAAACCATTTTTTCTTGATAAATCACCCAGTCTTTATTAGCAGTGTGAACAGCCTAATACACATCCACTACCTGCTGCAATAGCTTTACTAGTTAACTCTTTAATATTTCCTATATGTTGATTCTGTGACTACAGGTTAGATACAACTGTTAATGATGCAGTCAACTTGGCCATATGTTTTATGTATGTTGATAAAAAGTTATTTAAAAAATCAAATCTTAAAAAAAACCTAAATACGTTTAAATTATTGCTGCTGTTAGTATGTATAACAAGTCAAAGCCATTTTAGTTTCTCATGACTGTGTAAGAGATCTGACCTGTGGATCAAAAGAGCAAAATCTTCCTTCAGTCTCTTGATGAAATCAAATGAAATAGGATGATTTTGGAATATTTAGCACAGGACCAGGCTCACACTAGATGGTCAGTAAAGGTCAGTTGCTTTATGTTTTTAAGCCTAATTTATTTTTTAACATCAACCAAAACCACGCAAAAGTCTGGCATCCAATAGATGATTAGTCTTTTGACTTCACTCTCTAAAAGACTGATATTCTGAAAAATAACAACAAAAATATATTTTCTTGAATTATTTATTTATTTATTTATTTATATTTTTTGAGGCAGAGTCTCACTCTGTTGCCCAGGCTGAAGTGCAGTGGCGTGATCTCAGCTCACTGCAACCTCTGCCTCCTGGGTTCAAGTGATTTCCCTGCCTCAGCCTCCCGAGAGGCTGGGACTACAGGCACACACCACCGTGCCTGGCTGATTTTTGTATTCTTACTAGGGACGGGGTTTCACTGTGTTGGCCAGGCTGGTCTCGACCTCCTGACCTCAAGTAATCCATCTACCACCTCAATCTTTTATATATTGATTATTTTAAACTTTTTAAGAGGAGAGAGATTCCTGCTACTTCAGGAAATAGAGAAATTAAATGTTTATATAGTTTCATTGTTTAGTAATCTTCAATTAAGATTCAAAGTTCATATGCTTATTTATTTATGGATAACCAACTCCTAATTTCCTTTCATACTGATGATTAACTTAATGAATAGATTGTTTTTCATACCTCATAACTCAGCCCCAAATTGTTTTCTACAGACAAACAAATACTCTTAAGATTTTGTCTTAGCCTGTTTTGTGATGCTATAACAGAATACCTGGGATTGCATAATTTATAAAGAACAGAGACTTATTTCTTACAGTTTTAGAGTCCGGGAAGTCTAAGGTGGAGAAGCCCACATCTGGCAAGGGCCTTCTTGCTGCATCTTTCTATAACAATAACTAACCTACTCTCATGATAATAGCATTAATCCATTGGTGAGGGCAGAGTCTTCATGCCCTAATCACCTCTTAGCCGTCTCTTTTAACACTGTTGCATTGGGGATTAAGTTTCCAGTACATAAACTTTGGGAGACACATTCAAATCATAGGAGATTGCATGACTGTGTCTCTTTAGTATTTTAATGTATCTAGAGGTCTGGGAGAGGAAAAAGATACTAAAGATGCCCTTTAAGTCTTTTAATAGCATGGCCACAAATTCTCATTTTGCTCTAAAGTCAAAATGATGAATAACTGCTGTATGTAGTCGTATATTTGCTGTGGCGAATTAGCACTCTTTCAGTGTAAAAGTCCACATTAAGCTTCCTTTAAACAAGCTTCCATAGTCTTTAATTTTAACTATAATGGAACAACTAGTGTTAGTAATAAGAAGTCATTTTGAAATGATGGTATAAGAATGCTACTCATCAGCTCATGGACCCAGGAGGTTAATGGAGTTCTTTTAATTTCCAAACCATATAACCAAATACTACTAGAAAGCTGGTTCTCTGGCAGGAATACATCGTGAAAAACACATTGTACCTAATAAAAGAGGTTATGATTGTCAATATTTTAGTTTCCTTTTTTTTAGGAAAATTAAGATAAAACACTAAATCGCACTGTAAGCCATCGTCTATAATAAAAATTAATTATATTTGCATAGTCTATATTTTTATAAATTTTCCTATAAAATGTTACCCAGTTGCAAATTTTTTTTATATATGGTTTTTCTCTTAAACTTCCTCATATACTAGAACCTTGATGATAATTTTATAAAAGAAATACTATGGAGTACTAACTGTTACAGTGCTTTTCTTTCTACCTCTTTCTTTCTCTCTGTTTCTCTTTCTGTTTATCTCTCTGTCTCAGTCTTGATTATATAATAAATTAATAAAATGAGAGTAAGAACTCTGATTTTTTTCTATAACAATTGAATATATTTCTCTCTTATTTTCATTGCAAATATTGACTGGCCAACAATCTTTTAAATGGGACCACTGACAGAAGATAAATTGGGCAAGAGAGTATAATTGGAACAGGTTACAGGAATTTGAGCTGCCAGAGACTATAGATGATTAAGTCTAATGCCTCATTTTAGAGCTGAGAGAGAAATCGTGGTTGAGAGACGTTGTCATTTATCTAAGAGTGCTGAGCTATTTAATGGTGAGACTACACACACTCTTCTAATCCCAGTGTTCTTTTACTGAACTCAATTATTTGTATTACAGATACTTCAAAACTTATTCCAAGTACATGTCAAGCAAAGGGAAGAATGTTTATAAGTATAAGGTGTTTTGTGATAGTGGGTATAACTATTTTAAGAAGGCCTGTCTGGGAAGGCAAATGAAGAATTATCATTTCCATATCAGACTCCCATTTTAAAATATTTGTAACTATATCAGCCTGAAGCTCTGTGTTGTTTACTTCTTTTTTATTATTATTATACTTTAAGTTTTAGGGTACATGTGCACAACGTGCAGGTTAGTTACATTTGTATACATGTGCCATGTTGGTGTGCTGCACCTAGTAACTCGTCATTTAACATTAGGTATATCTCCTAATGCTATCCCTCCCCGCTACCCCCACCCCACAACAGGCCCCAGAGTGTGATGTTCCCCTTCCTGTGTCCATGTGTTCTCATTGTTCAATTCCCACCTATGAGTGAGAACATGCGGTGTTTGGTTTTTTGTCCTTGTGATAGTTTGCTGAGAATGATGGTTTCCAGCTTCATCCATGTCCCTACAAAGGACATGAACTCATCGTTTTTTATGGCTGCAGAGTATTCCATGGTGTATATGTGCCACATTTTCTTAACCCAGTCTATCATTGTTGGACATTTGGCTTGGTTCCAAGTCTTTGCTATTGTGAATAGTGCTGCAATAAACATACGTGTGCATGTGTCTTTATAGCAGCATGATTTATAATCCTTTGGGTATATGCCCAGTAATGGGATTGCAAACAAGGCCAATTATTTGATCAACAGGGTCAACCAAATCAGCCCAGAAACATTAAAGTAGACCAAATCAAAAATACATTTCCTGGCTCCTAAATTCTAGCTAGTTTCTCATTTTTTTAAATAGCAAGATTAAGTACAAGCAATACAAAACAAAAAAAAACAAAAAAAAACCCTGGAATTCTAAGAAAGTAGATGCTGCTACTTTTTCTTTATCAGAAACAGAAATAGAAAATTTTCAGCTATCTAAATAAAGATCAATTAGCACCAATATAATCTGAACTATAATCAAGTTTTTGTTTAATGTATTGCTGGAGAATATTGTCTAGTTCTTTAGTATATTATACCGTCACACTGTCAATAAATTATAATACTATTTGAACACTTTTAAAGATTAATTTAGTGTACAGAATCCAATTTCCAATGCAATTCAAGTCACAACTATAGTGCTATTGGGCTAAACTCCCAAAGCATCAATAAAAGGAAAAAATATTTCCCTCTTTTCAAAGCTTCTCAAAGACATTAAACACAATATTTCTCTGAATGGCTCAGCACTGTTGCCTTATACTTTTTCCAACTGTGTAATAGAAAAGAGAGACATTTATGGTAAACTTAGTTTTCTTCTTAAGTTACTGCTGTCCACCTACTTTTGTGCTTTTTGAGAAGGAATAATTATTCTGGATATTCTGATTTGTTTTCAAAATTAAAACATATAGAAAATATGCACTGTAATTAAAGCTTGGGCATCCGCAAGGCACAAATGGTTAAATCTCTATCAATTTATAAGTCAAGGGGTTAATTATACCAAACAGCTTGAGAATATATACAGGAAAGAATAACTAAAATAAGACCAATGCCATTACACAAATGCAATGTAGGCAGTCAAAGAGAACTCCAATTAAAGAAATCAACTTCTACTTATAGTTGATAAGGTAAATATTGATCCATAATAAATAATTTTATACCATAAGCACAAGTTAACAAGGTATATGAATTCACCTTTCTAGAAGAGAAAAACAATCTGAATGTGTACATCTTTTTCTCTCTCTCTTTTTTTTTTTAGCGTTTGATATTTAGTTATTTTTGGCTACAATCTTTCTTGGACCCAAAGGGAAGAGCTCTCATTATAAATGTTAAATATTAAGATGCTCTTTAAGTAGTTTTAATCTTCAGAAAATTATTTCTTAAGTGAGCTCTTCCCGAGGTGGTAGTGTTTGAAGTAGGGAAAAGAGCAGAAAAAAAGAAAAAGAGCAGAAGAGAGATTAGGATCTAGATCACTTTTCGACAAACAAAAATCTAAGTATCTCTCAGTAGCAAACTTTGGAGCTGCTATGCAATCAGACCCAGAAATTCAATATAAAACTTGAGACTTAATAAACTTCACACAGTTCATACAAATTCTCCTAATTGCCAATGAATAGTACACTTGTACATAGAAAACCAGAAAGTTCATGCTAAATTACACAGGTCTGTGCTGTTCTGGAAATCCATTATTCCTTGGCATCTCTGTCTTGTTGTCTGCTGTGCAATCTTCTGAACTTTACTCAACTTTACCACATGCTGGTTATTCAATTCTAATCAATAGAAGCAAATATTCACATAGCCTGACCTTCAGCAAATTTCAAGAAGGATAGAAGGGCAAAATAATTCAGAGTGGAATAAAATAGTGACCATGTCTTGTAAATTCCAGGAATATATTTAATTTTTTTGTTTTTATTTTAACTGAGACAGGAAGTGAATGAATTATAAAAAGAAATTGGCTTTAAATTGGAAAAATTTGTATCATAGCTCTGGAAAATATTCATGAACTCAGCTTTTCTTGACTTCTGTACATTAAGACTGGATGTAAACATGTTACCATAGTAGTCACTTTTTTTTTTTTAAACCAGGGGGTAAGGGAATCACTTTTATAACTTTTATAATTCCAGGGCTAGAAAAAAAGCCATAAGGGAAATTATCATGGTTTTCTTTCTCTCAGTCTTTTAAATCCCGGCCTAACACCAACTCTTTTATCTGGAACACCTATAAAAGAATGCTTGAGGAAATGTCTAGCTTAGCACCTCTTGACCTTTAAAATGTGCACATGCTGTCACCCTTATGAGGAAAGAAGTGTTTAGAGCTAAGACAAAGGGAAAGAGAGACAGGAAAATGGAAAGGCAGAAGAGGAGGCTTTGCAAATAGAAGGCAATGTTTACCCTTAACTTATATCCCTTTCTTCTCCTCACCTTCCTTCTTTCTTCACCTCTCTTCAGTGTTCTTGTCTGACTCCTATCAAAACTCACTTCCAGAGGGGCTCACACATCAGTCCCTATAACTTTGTGGTGAGTTGAAGTTAAACTGCTGGTTTTAAAACATTATATTTACATATTTTAAGTGTAGTCTACCATCGTGGAGTAAGATTTGTCTTCTGCCAAAGCATTTTTAAGCATCAACACGCAACTGGAGAAATGTTTATTATTTGGGAGGCTATGTAGTTAAATGAAATTGTATCCCATTGTCCCTTGGAATCTGCAGTGGATTGGTTGCAGAACCCCTAGGGAACCAAAATC
This sequence comes from Homo sapiens, assembly GCF_000001405.40. Taxonomy (NCBI): domain Eukaryota; kingdom Metazoa; phylum Chordata; class Mammalia; order Primates; family Hominidae; genus Homo; species Homo sapiens. The sequence continues at coordinate 120,981,009 of NC_000006.12, read as the reverse complement.
CACAGATGCTTGTCTCTGGTATAAAATGGCATAATATTTGCATATTATCTATGCGTCTCCTCCAATATACTTTAAATCATTTCTAGATTACTTATAATATCTAATACAATATAAATGTTAGGCAAATAGTCTTTATACTGTATTTTTAAATTGTATTTTCTGTGAATTTTTAAGAGACGAGACATTATTCTGTTGCCTAGGCTGGAGTGCAGTGGTGCTACCACAGCTCATTGCTGTGTCAAACTCCTGAGCACAAGGAATCCTACCTCAGCCTCCTGAGCAGTTGGGACTACAACTATGTGCCACTACACTTGACTAATTGTTTTCTTTTTTAGACATGGGATTTTATTATGTTGCTCAGGGTGGTCTTGAACTCCCGGCCTCAGGTGACCCTCCTGCCTCAGCCTTCAACTGAATATTTTCAGTCCACAGTTGATTGAATCTGTGGATGTAGAACCCACACAGATACAGATGGCTGTCTGCTTCAAAAAAAAAAAACTAGATCAAATTCTACATCAATTTACTTTAAACTTTAATGAAAGCATATAAAATTATTTTCTGATTTGACTTAATTGTCATCTATTATGCCAATTCAGGATTTTACAGATCAGTAATAGGTAAAATTAAAATAAAATTCCATGGTGTGCTGCTTGAAGAGATTTTAGCATCTATGAAAAGTCTGTATGCTTGTATATTGCAAAATTGTATCTACATTCTTTTGGTTAAGAAAAGGATAAAGAATGAGAATGTTGATTTTCCTGTGTCTGCTTTGTGCCAGATATCTCCTAGATGCTTCTACATATATTATTATTATTTTACTTTAATAATTCTTTCTTTAAAAATAGTATGTATGTGCATTATTTTTAAGGATTCAGGAAATCGAGATTTTAAAAAATACATTGTTTTTGGTTATCTGAAATTCAGAAGCTAAAGTTATGGACTATATAAAATTAGGAGCCTTTTAAAAACATCAGACACCTTTTTGTTTCCTATGTCATTGGGTATCTGTGGAGAAAAGTGTGTTATGAAGTGTGCTAAGAATTTGTATGATATTTGCAATCCTTTTTGTTATTTAGACTCAATTATTTTCAATTTTTCCTAAAAGACTTATTTTTTTAAATGTAATACACCAGGAGGAAGACCATATTCCCTTCTTTTCCAATAATTTGTCATTGTGTTAGTACTTTTGATGCTTGTTTGCTGGACTAATATATTTCACTTGCCCATTTTATGGGACTGTGTATTCTGTGTTGATTTAAGTAACTCTTGAGAGAGAGTGATTTCATACAAAAGAACAAAATGTTCCTAACCATAGACTAAAAGCAGAGGCAATGGGACCTAAAAACTTCAGGTGTGTTATATGGAGGATGATATAAATCTAAATGTTCCCAGCATCAGTAGGAAGAATACAAGATATTGGGTGGTGTCATATTTTGGGAAAGTGAATCATTGTGTTTTATAATGGATTGTGAAAAGAACTTGATCTAATATATCACAGTTATTTTGATTCCATAGGTCACCCAGGGAAGTGGCTGATAACCTACTTGTAGCTAGCAAGAATATATGATGGAATTAAATACATTTATTCGTAAATGAGCAAAAATTGTATATTCAAGGTGATAGGCACTTTAAGTTCTCATAAGCTTTCAGTACAGTTCCATAGAGCAGATTTTTTTTTTCTTATTTATTCTTATTGACTGTGAGGCAGATCCTAAATTGATGAATATCCAGACTTTTTCAAAACTTTAGCAAGATAATTCTTTTGAAAATAAACCCTTCATTAATGCTACAGAGATGACAGCTGTGTCCATAATTCTTTAAGCAGATCAGAAATGTTTTTGCAATGTAACAAAAGGTCAAAGACTGAAAGCTCACACTTTTAATAGACTATTTCTCTAACCATGTTTGTATAAAATTTTTTATTAAAATGCAGTATACCTATTTCTTCCACTCCAGATATTAATTATTTTGACAAGCAGCAGGGAAATGCCATGAATATGTGAACTGATGAAAACAAAAGCAATGATACTTCCAAGGATGCACCTGACAGCTCTTAAGGGATCTAGAGAAATGAGAGAATTACAGAGAAGATTTCAAGTGTTTTACTAATAAACTCAGGTAATTTAAAGTTGCAAAATTTATCAAATTTTTACTCAACTTAGATCCTTTCTAAATGCATAGCAACTCCCTTTTATAACTTTTCAATGCTATAAATTTATATTAGACCAATTTGACTTTATATTTTGGTAAAATATATTAAACACAGATTTAGAGAATAAAACCTAGTTTTATGTGTTATAGAAACTGTGCCCTGATCTCTAGTCTACAATATACTTGTCTGGATTACTACATCTTTGGTTTGGGGACTATGTTACAATTCCATTAACAGCAATTTTCCTTTGCAATCCAGTTATTTCTTTAAAATGATAGAGCTTACTTTATTTATTATTTGGTACCTTTTTCTATATATCTTAGGTTTTTATACTTTCTTTTAAATAAAACAATAATAGAGCTAACTAAATTTATTTTATAGAAAGGTAGAGATTCAAAGCTAATTTATTGGATTAATCAAAATAAATGAATAGACCACATTCAGAAGCTTGAAAGATGGTGAAAAGGTCATGGGAATTCCTGGGGATTCCTTCATTTAAAAATTATCGTGGGATTTTCCACCTGTCTGTGTGTTACAGCAGCAACATCCTAGATTGAGATTGCAGTCTAGACTGCAGCAACATCCTAGATTTCGCCATCACCATTGTCTTCATTGCTGCAGAGACTTCTGAATAATATTGACGTACATGTTAAGGACTGGTTGTCTTAGTCCTCTCTGATTCATATAGTCCTATCCTATCTGTTTTGGATAGATGGAGCACACTGTACGTTGGGGCTTTAAAAAGTGGAAAAGAGGCATATTTATTAGCACAATGCACAAAGAAGGAAGTCGTATTAACCATTTGCCCATCGTATTTTCCCAGAGCAGGATGTTTAAAATGTTCCAGGAATTAGTCCCCTGGAGGTAGATTAGGCTAGCTGCAAAAAGAGACTAACACAGAGGAGGATGTTTGAGATGTAGAAGCACCCAAACAAGATAGATGGTATTAACCAGTAGCAGTAATTTTGCTTCATATCTCAGCCCTTCTATAATATTCTCACATTCCTGTCCATTATGGCAAGATTAGCTTCCCACTGGTCCATCTCCCCAAGGCTGCCACATCAGAAGCTAAGGCTTACTTCTCGTTTTCTTATTTTTTCTTAATACTTCTTAAAGAAGTGTGGGCTTAATTACTTTTGGATCAACAGATTGTTTTGCTTAGATATACACAACTTAATTAATACTGGGAACCTTAGCATTTTTGTGTCCCTGTCCCATGTACCAGAATGAAATGAACTCTAATTAGTTTTCCAAGAGAAATGAATTCCAAAACAAAATGTATTCCACGTGACTCAGTTTTCCCTTCCCCAAAGTGAGATACTATCACTATTTTATAGGAAATTATTAAGCATTTACTAGCAACAACTTTTTCTCTATGCAAATAATATCAACTACAAGAGCAGAAATGTGTCCGTTGTGACCAATTTTAGACAAACCAACATAGAGCACACTTACAGCAAGTTTTGGATAGGAATTAAAGATGCTTAGAACTCTGTGATCATCATGTTTATTGACAAGACCATAATGTTATTAAGAACAACAGAAAATGGTTCATGTTCCCTAGGAAATTAATTCCTGAAAGAAAGGCTCAGACAGGAACGATTATGTCATAAATTAACAAAAAATCTGTATCTCCATTGGAAGGAGAAGGAGCATATCTTCCTGAATTTCTACATTTATGAGGGAGGCTATTGGTGACCATTCAGAACTAGGATAGGGATAAGGTGGTATTTCAGAAATAAAATGCCAAGTTTAATAAGGATGGTCTCAAACTTATAACAGTTTGACTTAAAATTTTCAACTTTGTAATGGTACAAAAGTGATAAACATTCAGTAGAAACCGTACTTTATCCTTACAACCATTTTGTTTTTCACTTTCAGTACGGTATTCAATAAATTACATGAGATATCCAACACTTTCTTTTTAAATAGGCTTTGTGTTAGATTATTTTGCCCTGTTGTGGGCTAATGTAAGTATTCCAAGCATGGTTAAAGTAGGCTAGGCTAAGCTATGATGTTTGGTAGGTTAGGTGTATTAAATGCATTTTTGACTTATGGTATTTCCAATTTACAGTGGGTTTGTTGGAACTAACCCCATCATAAGTAGAGGAGCATATGTACTGGTAATACTCAAGGATGACCTTTTCACCTCATGAACAAAACTCAAACCTTTTCTGCAGCCCATCTGTTTATCTTCTGATTTGTAATTGTTAATAAAATATTAGTTTGAATTCCCATAAATGTGATTTCATTATACTAATCTTGCTTTCCCAGTTGACTTTTTATTTGAAAAGACTTTTTGTCAAAGGAGAAGTCTAATTTATTACTAGTTTACTTATGATCATTAATTCACTCCTTCCACAGAAGTTTGTTATATACTGTTGAGTCAATAAATTTAAATGGAGAGATTTATTTCAAGGGGGTTCCATCCTGCAGGTGCGCAGGTGGGAAGTAAGCCTCTGGCCAAAACCATAAAGCCATGCTTCAAAGGGAGAGAAAGAAGAGATAGGTATATATTCTAAATGGGGTGGCAGGGTGTACATATTTAACAGGAGATGGGAGGACTTATCAATATTCATGAAAGATGCTCACATGTGTGCACTTTAGGTTTACATGTGTGAAACATACATTATGACCCATTTTCACTTTGGGGTGGCAATTTAACATTTACATGCATTATAATTAGGTTCTATACATAAAAAGGTGAAATATAGTGTACAAGTTCTGTGCATCCTCAGGACACTGGCCAAAACCAGTCCACAGCCGGTAGTCAGTATTGAAGAAGAAATTCCTTGTGAACTGGAATAGCTGTTATGCTGGAGCCATAACAACAGGAGGAGCTGAGGGGCCTTCCAATCTTTTGTTTTCTCAAGCTGGCTTTTGAGAAAATCTAGTAATGATGAATGAGTAAAAGAAGGTGAAAGCAAATGGGACGTAATTAGCCTCCCATCTTACCTTGGAAGGGAACTTAAAATTTTGGGTTTTTATAGTCGAAGGAGTGTCTGTTGGAGAAATTTAGGAGTTTTATTTTATTTTGGTCTTCAGGACCCATTATGTGCCATGGCTTATGGTGCTAGGTCCTATAGTTCTAAACATACAGTTGGAGACAAATGTGTACATTTGTAATTGCATTAGGGAACAATATGTTCTATATTTATGAACATCTGTGGTGGCACAGCGTTTTCTGAAGAGGCCATGGAAAGCTTAACAGAAAAGATGTCTAATATGAATTCTGGTGGTTAGGTTTTCTAGTGTACAAGGTGAGGAAGACATTTCTGGCAGAGGAAAAGCATTTTGAAAGTACAGAAATATAAAAATACAATGTCTTATGGAGGACACTTTATGTTGTGATAGCATCATAGGTGCAAGATAAGGTGTAGGAAGATGGAGAGGTAAATTATGATCAGATCATGACAAAATATGGTGCTACAAAGCTTAGGCTTTACCCTAGAGGAAATTTGAAGCCATGGATGAGTTTTAAGTTTGGGCCATATGGCCGTATTTAAATTTAGAAATAGCACTCTGGTGGCAGTATGAAAAATGGATTTGAGAGAAAAAGAAATGAGGGAGAGAAGACCAGTTATGAGTTAAATATTGCAATACAGAAAAGGGGTGATGAGCATTAAAATTAGGACAGTGACAGTGCAAAGGAAATAAAGAAAAGGTTAATCACTTAGGACTCTAGAACCAATTGCATTTGAAGAATAAAGAAGGAAAGTCAGAATGAGTTGCATGTTCCTTGTTTGGGAGACTATGGCACTGGGTACAATTATCCAGTTATGAGATAGAGTGTGGAAAGGTTTTGGGGAGAGAATAGCAAGTTCACTTTGGACATGCTGAGTCTGAGATAGTTTATGCCCATTATACAGATGGCCATGTGAGCCTTAAGCTTAGGAGAACAGTGTAGACTATGTACAGATTTGGAAGTAATCAGCATAAAACAAAAATTGTGTTTAATCCCTTCCAGAGGGTTTAGTGAGATGAAAAAAGAGTAAGATTTTTTGATTCCAGAATATAGCTCAGCACCAGATACACAGTGAGCTTTCAATACATGCTGTTTAAGGAAGAAAGAGTTGAAGAAAAGCCAGGAAAATGAGTGATGGGTAGCAATAGAAAGAAAGGAAGAAAATTAGGAGGAAAACCTGGTGTCATGGAAGCCCAGAGAAAAGACTTTGAAAAAAGACTTATCAACAGTGTTTAATGCTACAAAGGGGTGAAATAAGATAGAAATTGTAAAACCAGAACATGTGTGGTTCTTCTTTTATGCACAAACCCAAATACGTGTATTTCATTTTTATTTATATTTAATGAAATCTTAATAGTTGAATGAAAGTCAGGCTGTGTTTTTTGTAGATAAATTTCTTTTTATTCAACTTCAAATTTCCTTTCTAACTCTCCAAAGTATGTGTTTACCAGAACCAACAAGTGTACATTAAATGAAAGGGTCAAGAAGCAAAATTATGTTTTGTGGAATGTAGGTTAAATTATATAATCAATAATAAGATATATTGATATAAATACAAATCTGGAGCTCAAGACTGAAAACAGCCCTGTTTCATTTTATTTTCTAACATGTTACAATCTTGTGATTTCTCATATTTCACAGAAAGATGGCTAAACACTCAGATATGGAAAAAATTGGAAAAAATCCTTGGAAATATTAATTCAGGGTAAACTCACCTATGGCTTTTTAAGTAAAATAAAGACACTAATTATGCAGAGCAGTGGCTCATTTATTCATTCAACAAGTATTCACTGAGCACCTACTATGTTTCAAACACTGTTCTAGGCCATGGGGTTTCAGCAGTAAATAAAGTAGACATAGATTTTGCCCTCGTGGCTCTTGCAGTTACAGGCAATATGAAAAGCATATGATTAGGTAAATATTAATTGAAATCAAAATACATTCTCTGGCAACTACGTAGAGGATGCTATGAGGGCGTAAAACAATGTATCTTGCTATACAATATAAAACAGGATTTATTATATGCCCTCATAGCAGCAAAAGATATATTTCAATATATTTGCAGAAATGATATTTTTAACTACCTTAAAGAAGTTCTTTTTTTTCTAAGAATTAAAGAATGAATACAAGTTTGCTTGATGAGTTGGGAGTGGAGAGGATTAGAGAGATCTTTTTGGATGGAATAAACAGCATATGCTCTCTAGGGCAGGGAGGAGTCAGCACATTTGGGGCATTAGAAGCAGAAGGAACATTAGAGAGAAGAAAGGAACGTGGTCCATGGAGACATGGGAGAGATGATATGGAGAGCTTCGGGACTGTGTTGAGTTTTGTCACCATCCTTTTACGAAAATTAGTACATGGTTATAAATATGTAAGTGACAGGAAACAGTTGTAATTTCTTTACAGGATCTCTTTTGTTTAGAATGTTAAAAAATGAAGAAAAAACTGGGAAATGAAACAATATACGAAGAAAGCAGCTATCATATTTAGGATATTGCCTTCTATGATTATTAGGAATTTTCTCATACAGAAAATGAAAATAATGGTGACTTCCTTTTAGTTTTCTTAGGAAGACTAAAGATACAAAATACTAAACAAGGTTTCTGGTACGTTATAGACTCTTAAATGTTATTTTCCTTCTTGATCCTAGATAAGTAAAATCGGCTCTGTATTTAAGAATTTCTTGTCTAATAGTAAGTTAATGCTGACTGGCATTGCTAGGGGAAAATAAAGGCTTTTCAAGAATATGACTTTCCAATCCAGGGACATCCTTGAGCCAACCATTAAGGAGGAAGCCTAATATTATCACAGAGACATCCTGGATGGGTGCTGGCCTTCAGAGGTAGCCAGAATACCCAGTCTGGTACCCTGATTGAACAGGGCTAAATCTGAGAGAACCACCCTTATGTAGAACAGCTTCAGGAGATTAGCGTTTGGTTTGGGGTTAATTATAACTATCTGGAAATTCCTCATAAAGTATCATGTTAATATCCTCAAGCACTCTGAATATTCTTTTTCACTAGAGAAATCTACTTGAAACCAAACCAGGCCTAACAGAAATTTCCAGAATTTTATGCCCCATAATCCTTGGTTGCTTCAGAACAGTATTGGTAAAGCAGTAGCAGCAATGTATAATTCTGAAGTTTTGAATGATTTTTAAAAAAACGTATCCAGTTCAAATTCACAAACACATTAAAATCCAGGGTTGCTTTTTCACATTGAAATGTACTAAAGAGGGAAGTATTATTTAATGTATTCAGCAGTAATGGTGGTTGAGAGTGAATGAAAGCCTGCTAAGACTCCCTGTTAGTTTTCCAATGACATTATGGGAAGACATGGCCTACACAGTATCCCCTAACTTTTCTGAGGAAATCCTTTTGACAGAATGGCTGAACATCTGTCAAGCTAAGAAGTGCTTTTCTAGAAAAATAAAGCAACAAAAAGCAGCAGTCATGAGTGTTGTTGTGTTGTTTCAAAACACAGAAGTCTTTTTTGAGCAGGCTGTAGTGGAAAAATTCTCATGCCTGGGTAGGCATCTCTGTTGGAAATTAATCAAAACATGGTCATTAGAGCTCATATTCAGATTATAAGCATTTCAGGAAAAGTGCTCCTTTCTGTTCTCTAGGCTGTGATGTTTTTGTTTCACTTATTAGTTTGTTCTAACATAGACATATCATGCAGCCCTTAGGACTGATCCTTATATTTGAGTTAATTGGAATTGTACCCAGTGAAAATTGCAAAGTTTTCACACACTATGGGGTTTTTATACTTTTTTGGAAAATCTGGAGAGTAGTTTAAAGAAACAGAGAGCCTAGTAAGGAAAAAATGGCATGCTCCTAGAGAGATGACTAAGAAAGATAATCAACGCATGGGATACACATTCTTTTTTTTTTTAGCAAGGTAATTAAACTGTTTAGATCAAAAAGATTTGCCGTTTAGCTCTTCAAAGCATGGCCTATCAAAAGGAGGAGCGAGTTTATTTTGTAGGCACTACCAGTCAATTGCATTAACACTTTACTGCAGTGGAATAAAGGATCACAAAAACAACGAAGCTAGAAGAGATAGAAAGTGACAAATTCATTGATTCCTGTTTCTCTGGGCTGACTAGAAACATACAAATTCAGACATCATTTGCCAACAACTACAACAACCAATTGGCTATTCAGATGAATTGGGTGCTGGGAGAAAAATCCAAGGATATTATTTTTATTTCTCATCATGACTATTCAATGTACATATATGCTTACCAAAATGTATGCTTACATGCACACAGGAAAAGTGGCAAGATTTATAGGCAAAGGTCAATAACCTGCCTATAGCTGATTCTTAAGATGTATGCACGTTTTTCTACTGACAGAAAACATGATTTGAAGCTAATCAATTTTGGCACTATTAAAATTAATTTAGAAAAGGCATAACAAAGACTAAAAACAGAATATTAATGCTCATGTGCTTATTTTGTGATAGGTACTGAATTTAAAGGAATGCCCGTGGCTTCTACCCTAGAAGATCTTAAGAGTCTGAATGGAGGAAGAAAAGCTAAAAAGTAATGATAGTGGCATGTGAGGAAGGTATATAATAGAGGAAGCCATGTAAACACTAAAGTGCCTCTATTCCTGTGAAATATTCAGAAGATTATATTTGGTTTGTGTCTGAAAGCCCTGTGGCTGTGTGTCACCAAAAATGGTGTAAAAGGTGGTAGTGCATCCCGGACAGAGGGGATAGCATGGACAAAGACTCCAAGTCATTAGACTTTTAGTTTGTTGGAAGAACTGGAAGGAATTTAGTAGGCCCAAGTCATAGTCGGTGCTTGCCGGTCAACACACCTGCTTTTTCCTTCCTGAAATTCTCATGCAAGCTAATCTCATCAGCCAAATTGTTCAACTCCAGAGGTCTAGAGACCTGCTACTCCTACAAATCCTCCTTTAAAAATTATTTTAACTGATGAATAATAGTGTATATTTATGGGGTACAATGTGATATTTTCATAGAAATATACAATGTGGAATGACTAAATCAAGTGAATTCACATATCCATTACCTAATTTATTTACATGGTGGCACATTTAAAATTTACTCTTAGCAATTTTGAAATATACAATTCATTATAAACTATACTCACCATGCTGTGTAAAAGATATCAAAGACTTATTCCTCCTGTCTAACTGAAACTTTGTATCCTTTGATCACCATCTCCCCAGTCTTCCATTTACTCTCTCCCTGACCCTCTGGTAGCCACCATTCAATTACTACTTCTATGAGTTTGACATTTTTAGATGTTTGTCTTTCTGTGCCTGGTTTATTTCACTTAGCATAATGTTCTTTGGGTTCTTCCATGTTGTTGCAAATGGCAGGATTTCCTTTAAGGCTGAATAGTATTTCATTTTGTATATACTATTAATATATGCCACATTTTCTTTATCCATTCACCTATTGATACACACTTAGGTTGATATTGGCTATTGCAAATAATATCCCAATGAACATGGAGGTACAGATATCGCTTTGATTTATTAATTTTAATTTTTTGATACATATCCAGAACTGGGATTGTTGGATCAAATGGTAATTTATTTTTAGTTTTTTGATGAACCTCCATACTGCTTTCCATAATGTACTAATTTACATTCCCACCAATAGTACCAGGGTTCTCTTTTCTCCACATACTCACTAACACTTGTTATCGTTTGTATTTTGATAATAGGTATTCTAATAGGTGTGAGGTGTATCTCGTTGTGGTTTTAATTTGCATTTCCCTGATGAGTAGTAACATGGAGCATTTTTTCATGGACCTGTTGGCCATTTGTATATATTCTTTTGAGCAATGTCTATTCAAGTCCTTTGCCCTTTTAAAAATTTGATTATTTGTCTTATTTGCTATTCAATTGTTTGAGTTCCTTATGTATTTTGGATATTAACCCCTTATCAGATATATATGGTTCGCAAATATCTTCTCTCACTCTCTGATTATTCACCTTTTTAATTGCTTCCTCTGCTGTGCAGAAGACTTTTAGTTTCATATATTCCCATTAATCTATTTTTGCTTTTGTTACCTGTGCTTTTAACATCATATCCAAAATATAATTGCTCAGATCAATGTTGTAGAACTTTCCCCTATGATTTCTTCTAGCAGTTTTACAGTTTCAGGTCTTATATTTAAGTTTTTAAATATATTCAAGGTTTTACATATATTCACCGCAATCAAGTGAGATTAACCCCTGGGATTAAACCCATTTTCAGTTGATTTTTATGTATTGTATGAAATATGAACCTAATTTCACTCTTTTGCATATAGATACACAGTTTTCTCAACTGGATCCAGTTTTCTCATTAATTGGAGTCTGTCCTTTCCCTATTATGTATTCTTGGAACTTTTATAAAAAAATCAATTGTCATAAATGCATGGGTTTATTTTTGTACTGTCTATCCTGTTCCATTGGTTGATGTGTCTATTTTTATGCAGTACCATGCTGTTTTAATTACTGCAACTTTGTAGAATATTTTGATGTCAGGTAAGTATGATGCCTCAAGCTTTGTTTTGATTTGTTTTTTGCTCAAGACTGCTTTGGATATTAAGGGTCTTTTGTGGTTCTATATGGATATTAGAATTTTTTTTCTATTTCCATGAAAATAATTACATTTTAATAAGGATTGCATTGAATCTGTACATTGCTTTGGGTAGTAGGGACATTTTAATAATATTAACTCTTTAATTCATGAACACATGATATTTTCCCACTTATTGGTATTTTCTTCACTTTCTTTCATAAGTGTTTTATTGTTTCTAGTACACAGATCTTTACCTTCTTGGTTAAATTTGCACCTAAGTATTTTTGTTGTTACTGTTGCTGTTGTAAATGAAATTGTTTTCTTGATTTCTTTCTCAGATAGTTCATTGTTATTGTATAGATACGCAACTGATTTTTGTACGTTGATTTTGTATCCTGCAACTTTACTGAGTTTGTTTATTACTTCTAACTGTTTTGGGGTACAGTCTTTAGGATTTTGTATATATATAAGTTTATGTCAGCAAGCAGCGGCAACTTCACTTCTTCCTTTCTTATTAGGATCCCCTTTATTTATTTTTATCATGCTTAATTCTCTGACTAGGACTTCCAGTACTATGTTGAAAAGAGTGTGGAGAGTGAGAATCCTTGTCTCATTCTTAATCTTAGAGGTAAAACTTTCAAATTTTCACTAGTGAGTATGATGTCACTGTGGGCTTGTCATATATGGGCTTTACTATGTTGAGGTACATTCCTTCTATAGCTAATCCATGAGAGTTTTTTTTTTTAATCATGAAAGAATGTTTAATTTTGTCAAATGCTTTTTTTTCTTTGCACTTATTGGGATAGTCATATGGTTTTTGGCTTTCAGTCTATTGATGTAATGTGTCACAGTTAATGATTTACGTATGTTGAACCATCTTTGCATCCCAGGGATTAATCTCACTTGATTCTGGTGCCACTGCACCTGGCCAATTGTGGTGAATTATTTTAATGCGTTATTGAATTTGGCTTGCTAGTAATTTGTTGAGGATTTTTTCATATATGTTAATCAGGGATATTGGCCTGTAATTTTCTTTTCTTGTAGTGTAAATCCTCCCTTTTCATTACTTTTTAACTCATTCCATACTTAGTACACCTATTAAATCCTTCTCATTTTTCTCCTTCTTAAAAAAAAAAATTCTTTGCCTTTGCCTTAATTGGGCCCATGTCAAGCCAGAGCTACTGCAATAACTTGTAAGATGGTATCATACCAGAGACTGTTGAATTTTATTCTAGCACATCCTTTTCCTTCCAGTCACTTCATAAGTGTTTCTGAACAATCACCATCTTCCATGCTTTGCTTGCACGCTTGCTTTTTTTCCCTCAGTAAAATGCCCTTTCCACTTTTCTACACATAATGACCTGACCTTCTATTCATTCTTCAAGGTTCCGACCAACAGTCATCCATTCAGGGGAATGTTATTAGACTCCTCCTGGAATTCTTAGTGGACTCCTTTCCTTTCATAAATTCTTTCCCTGTGTTTTCATATCACTTAACACTTAATCCAACATTTGGGTACTTGATTTACTCTCTCTACATATTAAATGATCTTCCAGGAAATAATCAAGATCGTACTTTATATTTTCCATAACTTTTAATGTAGTACCTTGTCTGGGAAATAGTAGGGATACAATAAATGCTTTATGAATAAATGAGTATCTAAATTTTCAGGAATCCACATACTATTAACTTTTAAAATGTCTAATAGTGACTTAATAAATTTTAATTTGATATAAAATTATCTGCTACAATGTGATTTATTGCACAGAAATTTAATATTAAAGTACAATTAGAAATAGTAAAGGCAGAACATTTTGTCCTTCTATTGGGAGGATACTGTCAAGGGCAGGACATTTTTAAAATGGTGTATTAATCAGGATGTTCCAGAGAAACAGAACTAGCAGGATATACATAGATGTATGGAAAGAGATTTATTATGAAGGACTGGTGATTATAGAGGTGAGTACCACCAGCTGCCATCTGCAAACTGGAGAACCAGGAAAGCTTGTGGTATAGTTTTAGTCCAAGCCTTAAGGCCTGAGAACCAGAGGCATTGATGTCTGAGGGCAGAATATAGATGTCTGAATCCACAAGAAAGAGCACATTTGCCCTTCCTCCACCTTTTTGTTCTATTCAGGTTCTCAAAGGACTAGTTGATGTGCACCTACATTGGTGAGGAATATCTTATTCAGTTTATCAAATCAAATGCTAATCTCTTCCAGCAACACCCTCACAAACACACTCAGAAATGATGTCTTACCAGCTATCTGATATCCATTAGCCCCATCAAGTTGACATTCAAAATTACCCATCACGGTGACCTAATTGAATTAGAATATCTGTGTAAAACAAACATAATTTAAGACCTTGGCTTAACCAGGACCCTCAACAAATGCAGGCTTAGTGGCAAAAAGCAACGATGTTCCATGCTGTATTACATAACAATACAGAAACTGGGAATTTTGAGTTTTGAAACAGATTGCCAAAATGTCTGCTAAGCTTCCGAATTTTCAGTGTTTGAGGATAAAGGTTGAGGATCTTAAAATGTCAACAACTCACATGGACAATATAGGATCAGAGACCTCTCAGGACGAAAGAGGGCAGCCATGAACTATTTCTCTTGATGAGATAATACAAAATATCTTATTGTTAAATGAGACCTATGAGAGTCAGAGATCTTACCTTGTATCAGCAGTAGTAACAATTGCAAAAGTACAAGTAATATGAGGAATAGGTGAAGCATGGAGAGGTTTGACACAGCCAATGTCACTTCTCAGGTCCCTTTTTGCTGCATGCTCAGGCCAAGATTTAACATATGACCTCTCTAAGTGTGACTATATCACACATACAAAGAGTGAAACCACTTTTGTAAAAATTATGACAGTGAGAGAATCTAGTCTAATTGACTCCATCTTGCTTCTAACCTCACAAGCTAACCACCTTTGTTAACTTTAAAACAAAGATGATCACAGTCTTTTCCCAAAACTGACCCTCTCAGGGATCTTAAAACCACCTTTGTAAGACTCATGAAAGGCCACAAGACTAGGATTATGGGAAGGGCCTGACTTCTGCTAAGGTGTAGGTGTAAACGATAACCAGTCATTATTCTTTACCTTGCCTTTCTGTAATTGTTTACTGCTCCAAAGGTCAGAAGATTTTGTAACTTCCTCAGTTGCTCCAATAGATAACATAACTATTGTCGAAAGCTAAGGTTGGTCTTTGAGATATTTTTTAGACTTTTGTGTTCTAGTGAAACACAAAAGTCAGTCTAGCGACTGATTGACTCCACCTAGACCTGTGACTCATACCAAGAAACTAATTCAACTGGTTCTATGATCCCCATCCAAGTACTGACTCAGTGCAAGAAGATAGCTTTGGCCTCTTATGATTTCATCCCCAGCCCAACCAATCAGCATTCCCCATTTCCTAGGCCCCTGCTGACCAAACTATCTGTGAAAAACCCTAACCTCTGAGGTTTTTGGCAACGAGATTTGAGAATTAACTTTCATCCTCCCTCCTGACTTGCCCTGCAGTTATTAAACTCTTTCTTTGCTGCAAAATTCTGCAATTCTCAATGCATTGGCTTTTTTGGGCAGTGGTCAAGATGAACCTGTCTGACAATTATAAGTGGACTCTTTCAGTCGTGACACAATTCTCTTTTGTGCATTATTATACCTTACATATTATTTATCTTCATCTATAGATTCTGGGTATTTTTGTGATTGTTATTTATTTACTTTTCCTCAAGCAACCCTAGACAGGTACATCCTACAGGAAATATCTATCCATAGAGTCTTTCTAGGAAATATCACTAGTGTATTGGCCTTGTGGCCTGTCATTAGCATGTCCATAAAGAAATTTGACAATTCACCTCTCTTTTTCCTTTCTGGGTCTGCTCCCCCGTCCCTACATAAGGAAAAAATAGAGTGCAAGCTTGATTGCAATAATTTCCTTCCCACCTTATAGTGCCCTCTTCATCTTTTCCTACTTTCCATGGATATGGGTGTTTATGGTGTGATTTTATGATTGGTGGAAGATGCAACTGGTGGGAGAAAACTTGATTCTTTTCTGTAATTTGGAAGCATACAAAATGTTCATGAAAGTTTCTCATTTTTTGGGTCAGTCTTGACCATGAGGACTATGAAATCTCTCAAGTTCCTTCTGGCCAATGGTCCTTTTGGTCTTATGTAACCCAGGAACTATTCAGTAATTTATGTTACTCCTCCGCAAGGAGGCAATTTCAGTGAAGTGGGAAGGCATACATAATAGACACCACCTGCTTTTTAACATTAATTTTTTTATATTAGTAACAAAATTTATTATCAAGTATTATGTAGTGAACATAATTGTATGTGGTATACTTTTAGATGACTGGCAGCATGGTGTGTTTACACCAGCATCACCAT
This sequence comes from Homo sapiens, assembly GCF_000001405.40. Lineage (NCBI taxonomy): Eukaryota > Metazoa > Chordata > Mammalia > Primates > Hominidae > Homo > Homo sapiens. The sequence continues at coordinate 120,964,937 of NC_000006.12, read as the reverse complement.
GAACACGTGGTGTTTGACAGTTACGATGTCATTAGGCTATAGGATTTTTTCAGCTTCTTTGTAATTTTATGGGGCCACCAGTCATTTTTGTGGTCCATTGACTGAAACATTATGCAGCATATGACTGTGTCAGCACATGAATGTCTGTGATCCATTTAAAATTTTTTATTTATTTATTTATTTTTAATTATACCTTAAGTTCTAGGGTACATGTGCACAACGTGCAGGTTTGTTACATAGGTACACATGTGCCATGTTGGTTTGCTGCCCCCATCAACTCATCATTTACATTAGGTATTTCTCCTAAAGTTACCCCTCCCCCAGCCCCCCATCCCTAAACAGGCCCCTGTGTGTGATGTTCCCTGCCCTGTGTCCACGTGTTCTCATTGTTTTAAAATTAATTTTATTTGGAAGTATAGAAAGGAAAATGAGCTAGACACCATATCAATTCAGGCAGTATTTACATGATTCCTAACTCATCAAACTAGAGAATAACTGTGAAGGTGGCTCACACCTGTAATCCCAGCACTTTGGGAGGCCGAGGCAGGTGGATCACAAGGTCAGGAGTTCAAGACCAGCCTGGCCAACATAGTGAAACCCTGTCTCTACTAAAAATACAAAAAAATTAGCCAGGCATGGTGGCGGGCACCTGTAATCCCAGCTACTAGGGAGGCTGAGGCAGAAGAATCGCTTGAACCTGGGAGGTGGAGGTTGTGGTGAGCTGAGATCACGGCATTGCACTCCAGCATGGGCAACAGTGCAAGACTCTGTCTCAAAAAAAAAAAAAAAAAAAAAAAAAAAAAACACCTCAAAGTCATTGTTAAGTGAAACAAAAACCAAATGAGTAAGTGATTTGTTGCATCTTTCACTTTTCAGCTAGCTTGGCTGGAATTGGTTAGAAAAGTTGTATCTGACAAAAGGGAAAACAGTATAAATATTCTGCCTATATCCCCTTTAAAATGGGAAAGAAAAAACAAACTTTTCAACTATTCTGAAAACACATTTGTTTTCTGTTAGCCATTTGTTAGGCTTCCTGTATCAAGAGGGAGTAATACAGAATCTATGTTTAAAACAAGAGCCTATTTCATAGTCCAACATGATTATTTTGGCTTCTCATTTATATAGAGTACTTTTTATCTTTTATTAAAAATACTGGCCAGGTGTGGTGGCTCACGCCTATAATTCCAGCACTTTGGGAGGCTGAGGCAGGTGGATCACTTGAGGTTAGGAGTTCGAGACCAGCCTGGCCAACATGGTGAAACCTCATCTCTACTTTAAAAATACAAAAATTAGCCAAGCCTGGTGCATGCCTGTAGTCTCAGCTACTTGGGAGGCTGAGGCAGAAGAATCGCTTGAACCCGGGAGGTGGAGGTTGCAGTGAACCGAGACCATGCCACTGCACTCCAGCCTGGGTGAAGGAGTAAGACTCTGTCAAAAAAAAAAAAATTGTTAATGTTTAAAGTCATTTCATCAAAATATTTTTAATCACAAGAAATTATATGTAGAAACTATACTAAAATGGGAATGAAAGTAGTTTTATTTCTAAAAGTCAGCCAATAGTTCCTGCTGTCAGTGAAAAAAAGAATAATGCCTAATACTTACAGAGACAGGTTAATGAACAGATAAAGACATAAGAATAAAGCATAATGAGAAATTGTTCTATTTTTTCTTAACTTTCTTAAATCCACTTGCAAATTCATCATTCGCCTTTGAAAGGCAATAATGTGTTGTGAAACTAGTGGATCAACATTGCCTGGAGGACCTGAAGCAGCTCTCAGCTTCCCTGGACCAGCCTTCTCAATAAAACAGAGCAGCTGTGTGACATAACCCCAGCTAACCTCACAATCTTTCTACATCTGAGAAGACTAATACAAATCAGATGAGAAATTGAGATGCTGACCCTAAACTCCCGATGACAATGCCTGCTTTCAAATTCACATAGTCTTCCTTTAATACAATTCACCCTTGCTCCCCTTGTTTTAATGAAATCTTGAATGAAATATATATTTTCCCTGAAAATAAGATTTCTAGTTACATTTGGCTTTTTACACCCTCAAGGTTTCTGCAAATTGCTAAATATATTACTCATCAGTTGCTTTATGAGCCTTCAGGAGAGATGTGACAAATCTTAAACCATGCCCAGTATGACTTCTTTTAAATCACAGCCAATCATTGATTTTTCTTACTCTTCTTTTAAATCTAACTCTAGTAGTTCCTTGAATTAAACACCTGATTTAAAGTGAATACACTGGCGGCTAGCAATGACTTTTTAACAAGGCATGGTATCCTGAGATTTTACTGGCATTCAGTCTTCAACAGATTTTTTTGATTTGTGCATTGAGGTTTGTAGAGATTTGCCTTACTATCCTATCATATGACCTCACTTTGTTTTTAATTTATTACTATTTTTTCCAATTCATAGGCAGATAGATGAAACAAAGTAGCTCACTGGTTTGGGTTTGAGAAACAACCCAGTGTATGACACTATGACACTGTATTTGGTCTACACTGTGATACCTTTAATAAGAGGCACCTACACCTATGTCCTTTTGAAAAATAAAAATAAAAAGCTGAAGGAACAAAGTGGAAAAGAAGCTCATGTGAAATTTTAATATCTCCTCAACCTGTGAAAAAGAGCAGTGCCATAATGTGTTAAGGGACAATTTCCAAATAAGGGATACAAAATCCCATTGAAAATATATCTTCCAGAGAAGTGGATTAGTGTTTGTGGAAAGATACTTTAAATGCATTTCCTTGGGAAGGGCACTATTAAAAAAAAAATGCTGGAGAAATGCAACGAAAAATTGATTCTCCTTTAGGGAAAGGATAATGATGTATAGAAACTAAGTACTATAGACATGGGAAAGTTGTAGAGCAGTTTTCACATGACTCTATGGAGACTGAGAACTAACCAAGGTCAGAGGAACGTGTCTTGAGAAAATTGCAATGAAGTAGCAGGACATCCTGAATGCTAACAACTGCAGGGGAGCCAGCCAGGCACTTTATAAGAGGATGAAGGAACAGAGTGCAGTAGGAGCCAGCTCTTTAACTTTTTGAACAATGTTAAATGCATGCTAATGATTTTTTTCAAGAGCCTCCTGTTAGTAAATTTTAGTTTAAAAATATACATAAAACAAAAAATAAATAAATAGATGAATTCACATGCCTAGTGACAATGATTTCACTGTATTGTATTTCCTTCCTATCTTTTTCTGTATATTTTTGTCCCGAATAGTTGTGTCATATGTATATATATAGATACAGACATTTATATATACACAAATTTTCTATTTATCTTTTACTTAATAATTTTATGCAAAGTTATTTTCATATTAATATTATAAAATAATCTTAACTCTGGGTTGCTCCTGTTATAAGAAAGGCAATCTGAAAATATATTAATATCACATGAATATTTGAACCACATGGTCCATCCAGGGAATAGAAATACACTTCAAAGAAAAAGAAACACACAAATTAATGACATTCTAAAGGTGTTGCAGCATGTGGGTGGAAACATTGTTTCAAGTCATGAGGTTTCCTTGGTATTCCTCCAAATATAAAGTTTAGACAATTTCTTTATCTACTGTCAACAGTCCTCACAACACACTGTACATACTGCGTAATGTCAGAAACAAAATATATTGGACTATAAATTGAGCAGTGTAAAAGAACAACTGAGTTGACTCTCACCATGTACTTACTAACTGTTGGATATTCTTGTGCTCCTTGAATGCAAACTGTATGATTTTGGGATTGTTAAATATACAATAACACATATTAAATGATCATCTTTTCTTGGTAATGACTCAGAATTTGGTGTTCTGATTTTCATTTCAAAGATTAAATTGGTCATCTCCATTCCTCATCTGGTAAGTTTCCAACTACAGTTATGAGTAAGTAGAACTGTTAATTTGACTGCTGATCATAGTGTGTTGAGAAGGGGTTCCTACACAGAGGCTACTGCCTACACTTTTGAGTAAGAGATGTAGGAGCAAGGTCAGGCATGGCAGTCTGAGTATGCCTGCGCTATTAGAAGGGCTCTGGACTTGTCAGCTAAGTATAAAATACCCTTATGCTGCAGAGTGAGGCCTTCATTTCCTAAGCAAATTAACTGTAATGACTATCAAACTACATATTGTAAGCAAGCCAGCCACCTGTGAAAAGGGAACCCATCGACAGCAAAAGTATGCTAGACATTTCTTTAAGATATGGACACGTAGAACAACCTGAGCTATTTTTGAACCCCTGAAAAGCAAAAGACGACACAAAATGTCATTATTACTTCATCTTTGCAAAGAAAATCAAACAGTTAAAAGATGAAAAGACACATTGCATGGGTAGCAGGTTCATTTGAAACTGGAGCAACTACAGGTAGATGGGAACAGGTGGAGTGAGATCATGACATTTTCAAGCTAGTTGTGGTTATGAAGCAGATGACTTATGCAAGTAACCCTCAGCTATTCCAGTGTACCTGGATTCTCTGAAGTCCTCTGGAGTCTTTTAATTATTTGTAAACTCTCACTAGTAGGCCGTGTAACTGAATTTGTGAACGTTTTTTCAACTTCTCTTTAGCTAAGAACATTTAATGTAATAATTAAATCTGTTTTTTTTGTCTGAAAGTTCCTTAAAACAACATCCATATTTAAAATTCTTCACACCTAATGCATGTGGACACTGGAGTTCTTAAATCTCTGCAGAACCCCACTATGCTGGAGACCCAAAAAGAATATGCCACACTTTTTTGATGCTTAAAGAAATTCCTGCTTCTGCACCAAACATAATGATTTTTACCTTAGCTCTTTCAGAGGAAAGAGAATGGATACAGAATCAGAAAAACCCGTGTTTGAATCTCAGCTAAATCACATTCGGAGTGGGCCAAATGCTTAAACTTTTTGATTCTAAGTTCTACCAGTTTTTTTTTTTAATAAAGCAAAAGTAATATGTCCCTTACAAGATCTTATAAGACTGAAGAGAAATAATATCTATGAAATATCTAAGCCTACTGCCTGCCCCTTGGAGGATGTTTAATAATGGTTTGTTTCCTCTGTCTTCTTTTGAAGATAAGTCAAAGAAGCCCACATTTCCCTATACCCAACTCGCATTCACTATAACTGTCCTTAGATATTTCCTCAAAGAATATCAAGATAGCATGAAGAGAAATTAGGGCCATTCAAAGAATGATACTGGTAGAAAGTCACTGGTAAGGCATTTAGAATGAAAAGACGTAAATGGGAAGTAAATAAAGCTCAGACTGGGGAGCTGTTACAAAAGCAAAGTTATATATGCCTACTGCCAAGTGGGGAGCTATCCCTTCTAGAAGAATTTTCAAGATTTTTTTTAATTGAGTCTAATATATTTTCACATGTGGTAAGCCCTATCATAATAAAACTTTTTTTTACCTGTATTGGATGATGAGCTGTAAATCAATGATTGAAAAGTGCCTTGAGGAACAATAACACTAAATAAATACATAATTATTATTTAGGGCTATTTATTTCACTTGAGTAAAAAATTGTTGACAGCTTCATTATGTCAGGCCTATAGCAAGCTGATAACTTACTCTGTGGTCTTTGAAATTATTTGTTGGATTTTTCTGTGCATGAGTTGATGAATGGTGGCTAAAAACACTGTTAAATAAAACTATGTAGTACACACACTATTTTCTCCATTAAATTTTATGTAAAGAGTTTATGCATAAGAAATGATATGCACAAAGGGAGACCTAGTTTGAGAACAGTATGTTTGAAAAACACCTAGGACTTTGGAAGACCACAAGGTCAATATGTTAGCACATTTGTCAAAGAAAGCTAATTCTTATGCTATGTTATTAGAAATGGAACATTCTGATTTTGTGAAAGGCTTGCACTGATGAGGCTTCTATGTGGAATGTTGTGTTCAATTCAGGACACACATTTTAAGAGACACTGGCAAACAGGTTTGGGCTCCAACTGAAAAGAAATTAAAGCTTCTATAAATATTTAGCTAGAAGAAATAATTGTTTTATTCAATATTTTAAGGTTCTGCAGAGTGAAGGATACCTAAGCTATGTTGTTTCAGACAGCACAACTTTGAAAAGAGAGAAAACATGAATAGAAAGTAAATTGACTAAAAATAATGTAGAACTCTCTAATAATTAAAAAGAGGCACTGTAGATAGATGCACTGAATTAGAAATATTCCATTGTTCTCCATTGGTTGGGAGGATAAACTAGATAACATTTTTAACCCTAAACCTAAGATATATTTTTCCATTTAAAAATATTTAATAATAAATTTCTATATAATCTATAAGATAGTTGAAGTCAGCTGGGTTTGTGATTTTAAAATTCTGAGTGAATATTTAGATGAACTCTTAATTTGCATAAATTGCAACAAAACAATTTTCATAAGGTTTTTTTGAGAATGAATAACTGCTTTTTAAAAACTGACTAGTCATTTATAATTAAAAACATATAGGTATCTGGGAAAATAAAATATGAATAACTGTAGACTTTTATTTTTGCTTCACCTTGGTTACGGAAAAAGAGTACAAGACACAGCCATCTCCACTCTCCACTCTCTAAGCTCAGAGGTTCAGTTCCATGTCTAGGCAACAAACTCCTAAACCAAACAAAAACAAATGAAGACAAGACATGCACACACACACACACACGTGCGCGCGTGCACGCATGCACACACACACACACACACAAACAAAACAAACCCAAGCCAAGAATCCTGCTTTAGGAGTGACTTAAAGTTTGAAGTTTCTAGCGTCATGTAACCCTATAGCAATTCTATCTTGTACATATTTTTGGAGATTTCCACTCCCAGAATATTAACAATGATGATTCATTTTGTACTGAATATGCATGGTCGGGATTTTCAACTTTTTAAATTAACCCTGCTATTTCAGAAGAAAAACATAAATAGAGAGGTTTGGTTCTGGGGAACAGGACTAGACTGGAGATAATTGAATATTGTTTTTCATTGTATGCTTTTATTTTTCATTTTTAAACCATATGGTATATGGGTATAAACAGTTAAGAGGAATATATAGAAATCAAGTGATAGTAAGTCAGCCAGGGAGAAACACGAGATGTATTAATACTAGAATCAAGAGGCAGAGAGATCTCTGGAGTTTGATGGGAGGCACCAAATAACACTCAAATGTGGACTCTATTTCCTGTGAGTATAAAAACCCCTCCTTAAGGGTATACAGTTAGTGACAAGATCAAATAAAGTCATCTTGATTCCAAATAGTTTCCTAGAAAGCTTGGGAACCCTTTTATCTTTTGAGTTCAGCTATATTGAACTATTAAATTTTCCTGTAATCCCTCTTAAACTCTGTTCTTCTGAATCTATTATTTATTCTCATTAATTTCTCAAATCTCTATTGGCCTTTAATTATTACATAAAATTAATTCTTCGCTCATTTGACTTACTTTCTTACCCAGCCTGCATAGCTGGGTAAGAGAGTAAGACATTTCAATTATTCTCAAGTCAGAAACCTAAAATTCCTAGTTACCTTCATCTTTTGTCATATCTGTGTGTCAATCACACATGGGTCAATCACACGGGTGTGCCTTATTCTTAGGGATAAGAAACAAACAAACAAAAAATCAATTCTAGCTGATTTACCCACATAAGTCATGTATTGAAAGGATATTGACTAGCTCTCCAAACTCTCTGGAAGGCTAGAAAACCAGACTCAAAAAGTGGAAAAGAAACAAGGTGGACAGCACAGCCAACAATACAACCAAAATGATGTTTTAGAAATGGCGCAAGAAATGCCATTATCACCACTGCTGTACAATGGTTGCTCTTGCTGGCACTGGGTCCTGCTGCTTCTAGAAATAAGATGTTGCTGGTGCTGCTATTGAAAGAAATTGTTCATTCTCCCTACTTGTCTGTGTGACTTACTCCACAATCAATATTTTGGGCAAAAGTACGTACATGGACAAGCTCCAATCATGCACTCTTGCCCTATGGGTAGGCCAGAGGGACAACCTTGTCTTTCCAGCTTTTAATGTTGTCCAGCAAGATTTCTACTGTGGGACATATTATAAACATAGGAGAGGGTTCACATGCTGGAATGCTAAAACTTTTATTATTAAAATAAAGTAACATATAACAAATGTTAACAACAGTATATTTTGCCATTTAATAACTCTCAGTAACTCACTTTTTACTTTTTCTCATATGAATCTATACTCCATATCTACCTTTCCTCACTGTTGACTGCCTGGTAACATAGCTTTTATCCTTATAACTCTTCTGACATTTCTCTATAAAAGTCACCTAGTTAAAAAATCAAATTGATTCCCATTTCTCACCCTTTTTCTACTTCATTATCTTCTTTATGAAAATTTATTCTTTTGGCTTCTGTGTCATTGCTCTGTGTTAACCTTTTGATATTTTCTTCCTAACTCTACTTTTATTTCTTAATATAATATCTAAGAATCTCTTGTCTGGTTTCCTTTTCTACATTTTTTTCTCTTTTCTTGCCGAGTCACTTATTGGTGCAATTTCAACTATCATCTGTATTCAGAGAAATCCCAAATACACATTAATCCCCTAATCTCTCCCTTGAGTTTCATACTCAATAAGTGTGTGATGAGTACCTTTACACAGATTTTGCTCTACCACCTCGCATTAATCATGTCCACAAGCCAGCCTGTTTTTCCCACAAGCATTTCCCTCCATAATCTTTTGCTGGGTTAATAGCTTCCTATTTCTTACAATCAATTGGACATTAAATTTTAGAATTAATTTTTAATTTTCCCTTCTCTTCCTCAGAAAGCAAGTATAAGAAATTACCTAGAAAGTTCATTTTCTTCTGCAGTTTCTCTCTCATTCATTTCTTTTTTTTTTTTTTTTTTTTAACATTGTCACTGACCTGGTCTAGATCCCTATTTCCAATAGTTTGGACAACTATAATAGCTTCCTAATTGGTCTTCCCACCTCTGGCCTTCAACCTTCCCAGTTAATTCTGCTCATTACTCTGAGAGAACATTTCTTAAATCAAATGCCCTATATCACACGCTGTTTCTGTAATCTTCTATGACTTTTACTTGTGTTCTTTCTTGACATTCAAGGCTCCTCATCATTTGATCCTAAGTGTCTATGGCAGTCCTACTACACTTCTTTTTCCACTGCACACGGAAGCCAAACTAAGCAGATGCCATCCAGAGAACCTTCACTGATCTTTCCTGCCACTTTGTCCTTGCTCATGATACTCTTCCCATTAGTAGTTCCTTTCTTTCCATTTCTATAATTCTTGTAAAAATCTATTTATCAGGACTCAGCCTTGAATGATATCAAATCTCAAATTTTTCTTTTATATAAGGTTTAATAACACTTCATTTTCTTATATTTTCTTAGCAGTTTGCATTGTGTTATAGTTATTTTGTACATACAGTATATTTTACTCCTTCTAGTACATCTTAAATTTTATGAGCGTACACATTGGGTTCTGTTCACACAGCTCTACCCCTCTTCAAGATCTGGCTCAAAGTTTTGAAAATATTAGATGGCTAGAAAAGGTTTATTGTATTGTACTGAATCTAGAAATGCAAACTCAAGATCTTTGCCCCTGGAGCCAAAATCAAAAGAACACAAACAACTTTATATTTGTTATTTATTTGAATCTATTATTTCTTTATATTATTACAGTTTTAAAGTATTAGTTATACAAATTGTTTATCTTTTGACTCTTAATCATACAGGCACCAGACAATAGATAGTATTCTCCTCAAGTACACTACGATGTGTGATTTGACATTTTGATGTATTAGAATATTTAGTCAATATTTCATTAGACCTTATGGTAAATTTTGATTTTCAAAATGTCCACAATTTTCAGATAGTTGCTAAGATTTGGGGACATGGAAAAATTATACAAACCTGGTGATTAGAATACTAAGTTGGGAATTTACAAATGTCTATTTGGTAGCTAAATAGCTGTGTAACTACTCCATGTTCTATTTCACTTTATTAGTTTTTCTTTACACGTATGAAGAATATAAATATTATATATTTTAAATATTTTACACATTGGTAGAATAAATTAATTTGCATGATGCTTTGTCTGGTGATGTTAAATTGCTACAGAGTGGTGTGAGCCGTGGGAGAGTGAATAATCAGAATTACATGAGAAGCTGCTTATAGAACAGGGAGGACTGCCTATGATCAGTTCCCTCTCAGAAGAGGCAGTTTAGAGGTTCGGAGTATAGACTAGAGCAGACCGCTAGATAGAGTTTAAATTGCAGCTCCATCCCTCACTAGCCGTGTGACTTTGGACCAAGTATTTAATCTGCATCTATTCAATTCCCTCATCTATAAAATAGGGATAATAACAACACCTGCCACATAGGGGTGTGTAAGGGTTAGCTGAGCATTTATTAAGTGCTACTGGGTATTTGTTATTGAAGATATGCTTTCGGCTACAAATATCTACTGTTAGCTTAAATATTAAATGCATTTATTGTTTTTGTTAGCTCAGTGACATTTATTTCAGCTTTTGATCTGAGTTTGTTTTCCTGCTCACAAGCTTTCTGAGAAACACAAGAATCAATAGGGATTATTTCAACTGAACTTACGGCTTATCTAAGAGAACTTCAAGGGTTAGGAGACCAAACAAAACAAGAAAAGAGGATTTAAAAGAAGGAATTAGATTTCAAAGTTTAAGAGATTAAATGGGTGGATAAAGGCATTCAGCTTGTACTTTAGATAAAAGCTAGAAAAGTAGTAGTGCTATTCTGCTTAGCCAGTGGCTCCTGACCCCATTAGCAGTAATGCTTAATCTTACTCTTACTGTTCTTATTAATAATGCAAAATGGGTAGGGTTTTTTCCTATGAAAAATATATTTAGTATAATTTTTGATTTCCTCTCAGAAGTAAAAATAACGACCTGAAATGAGGATGCATGATGAGCATATGAGAAAAATACAGAAAAGAATGTATTAAAGTTGACATATATGTCAAACATAAATAACACTTACCATGGAAATCAATGTTGATGGCAGGTAAGAGGAGTTAAATTTCCACTGCTATCTTTCAGCTGAAGATGTAAAATCTAGGAACTTTCAGGGGATAACTACAGAGAAATCTGAGAAATATTAGAAACAAATGAGAAATTATTATGGTTTAAATACTTTTACGTTTAATCATTATCGTTTTTGTAAAATTGAAGATTTCAGAAAATGTAATTTTCCTTTGTGAAGAAATTTAAGCCTACAGGCAAATTTGTAGGCCATCTTTAGCAACTGTAAGAGTTTGATATTTATAATCAATATCTATAACTATATATATCTACCATCATCTATATTATCATCTGTATCTATGTGATATGGGAGGGGGAGCAAGGAAATACTGGGTAGAAGAGGGCACTGCCCTGGCAAAGGCCCTACTGAAGCCTGAAGACCCGCGGCCCTAATTGAGGACAGGCATTTCTGTTTTCGTGCCCAAAAAGGTGCGTTTTGGCACACCATGTGCCCTATACTGCCCCCATATAAACCCGAGACCTTAGCGGGCAAACATGCAAGCAACTCTACATCCGGAGGAGCAGAGGAACAGAAAGCAGAGAAAGAGGGAAGAGGCCTCTAAATGTCGGCAGAGAACGGTCGGACTCCAGGGGAAGATCACCTTCCCACTCCGTTTCCTCCTTCCAGCTCCCCATCCATCTCGCTGAGAGCCACCTCCACCCCTCAATAAAACCTTGCCTCATCCTTCGAGCCCACGTATGATCCGATTCTTCCCGTACACCGGGCAAGAGCTTGGGATACAGAAAGCTATCACACTGGCCCTCTGCCCTTACGATAAGGCAGAGGGTCCATTGAGTTAATTAACACTCATGCCGTGAGTGTGGAAAGATCTGAAAGAGTTTTGTAACACTGGGGTTGCAGGCACCTACCCCTAGACATTACCATGAGGCCAGAACCCAAAGCACTTGCCCTGGCCTCTGCACCTTTTCGTCTGCATGCTTCCCCTTGGGGTTTGAGCAGTGGGGCGACCAAACAAGTGAGCCACAGCCCTGTCGCACCTCCTGTCCTGTGACGGGGATAAGGGAACTCTCCCGTTTCATATGTATCTAACCCTACTGCATGTCATCGTACAATTTTTATTTTTCCTTGCTCTTATTTCCTTGTTCATTTTTTATCTTGTTACAATGTAATTGTCTTTATATAAGCATCCTCAATCACTTAAAAATTAGGTAGAATATCAAATAGATAAATAAATACAAAGGGATAAATGGGTACCCTAAAATCATTTTCCTAATTATTGTCCACTGCTTTGGACATAACCAGCCAAATTTGGATCTGACAAGTACGATTAGTGCTCTTTGTGGAATCATAGCAGAGACTTCAGTTTCTAGTATTAATGGAAAATCAGTGGAAGTAAACTATTCATCCATTTTATTTTCTTTGAAAAGGGAGTTTTTCATGTTCTGGAATTCTATTTTAAGATATATTCAAGAGTTATTAAAATCTTAGTCTACTTTCACTTATTTTAAACCATCTGGTATTTTATCATTCATATTTATCACAAGGTTCATTGATTGATTTTTGACTATTCTTGAGGAATGGTGAAGCCCATTAGATACTAAACAATGATTAAGCACTTTTTTCTTTCCATATAAATCAAAGAAAAAATTTTATTCTCAATTTCAGTATCAAGTTTTCATTAACTTCCACACGTTAATATGCTCCAATTAGGTCCTTAGATTTTATTTTCAATGTCATGCCATAGAGAAATGTAAAGTGTGCCAAAATCATCATTATATTGGCAGGGTTGTTAAATCAATAACTAATTTTTATCATGTAGGATACCCTTTCTTTTATGAATAAGTCATAGAGGTGTTTACGTTTTTTAAATCTATAGATGTTCTTCTAGCATATCCTATGCTCAGTGATTCTGTGTGATCAGAATAATCTGTAAACTCATTCAATCCTTTATTTATACACAGGCAAATTCCGTTTTTGATCTTTTATTTTCTCCAATTCTACTTCAATCACTATATAACAATGCTGTAAGACATCAATATTAAATAATAGATGAAGAGTTAAATTCAGAAATTAAACCCCTACAGGAGACAGATATCCATTACAATTTTGTGAGCCCAGATGAAGGAGGCTTTCATCTTCATAACCGTGTGCCATTATGTTTCAAGGGCTGTGAGAGCAGTCACTTTAGCACTCCTATTTGGGGTCAAAATTTTCAATGAAAAGGCACTACATGCTTTGGAAAATCTTAATAATTGTATGTTTGTGTATGGAGTGTTGGGGTGTGAAATTTACGGATGAGAGTGATATCAGTATTTTGAATAAGAATCCATTACAGTGAGAATGAAAGCACTGAGAAGGAGGTAGATTAAAGAGGATTTTAAGGGCAACGGTGGAAACAAATGTTACTTCGTGAGTACACTTAGTCATGATAGCTATCTGTGATGTCCTGTGCTCATTTTAGGAACTGTCTTTTCAGTTGCCTGCTTATCAAGACTTGTAAATAAAAGGAAGAGATAAACCTTGTATGTGCCAGAGTCTCATTTTTCTCAATCAAGCTATTCTTTACAGTGAATCAGACACACTACTTTCCAGTCAGAAGCACACACCGTCTCATTTTTCTATCTCTGTCCATTGTCCCTTTAATCTTGAAAAGAGTATGAAGAGAAAAGATGGTGGTTGTAAAATGGCCTAGATTAAGGCAGAAGACATATTTTAATACCAAAAAGTCAATAGAAAGTACAGGCTATGAGGGAGAAACTAAGGATTTTCTTTTTATGTTGGCAATTGGATTTTAAGAGATCCAGCTGCACATCTAGTTAGTAAATCAAGAATAACTCCACACAATCAGACTCTCTGAAGTATTCTTGCTTTGATTTTTATATAATTCTCTATGATACTCTAACGCTTCAGTTTTTTTATTCCAGACTTCCAGTTTTAGAAGTAACACAATAGGGAGTCATATATATAAGGCGGCAAATTATACCTGTAGCTGCATAATCCAAAAAAATTAGAATGTTATTAAAGGCATGTGAAATTGCTTTGTTTGGTGGTGTTGGTGTGAAGGGTGGCCTGAATTCCACACAGGCGGAAAGGAAATTCTGACATCAACCAATCAACAAAGAAAGAATGCCATCTTCTTTCTCTTAAGTATGTGAAACCAGGGGGAGTTATTTCTGGAAAAAAAAGTTACCTTTCATTAAATCTGCATGATAGTTTATACACACACACACACACACACACACACACACACATATATATGCATGTAAATCTATAGATGTTCTTCTAGCATATCCTATGCTCAGTGATTCCGTAATTTTTTTTTTTTTTTTTTTGATGGATTCTCGCTTTGTCGTTAGGCTGGAGTGCAATGGCACGATCTCGGCTCACTGCAACCTCTGCCTCCCAGGTTCGAGCGATTCTTCTACCTCAGCCTCCCAAGTAGTTGGGACTATAGGCGTGCACCACCACACCCAGCTACTTTTTGAATATTTAATAGAGATGGGGTTTCACCACGTTGGCCAGGATGGTCTCAATCTCTATACCTCGTGATCCGTCCGCCTCGGCCTCCCAAAGTGCTGGGATTACAGGCGTGAGCCACCACGCCCAGCCTAAAGCTGTAGTTTTCATATTGTGGTTTCTGAACTAACATCGCCTGGAATGCAAGCTTTACCCCTGATTTACTAAATCAGAAATGTGGAGATGAGGTCCAGCCATATGCACTTTAGCCAGCTGTCCAGGTAACTGTAATGCATGATAAAGTTTGAGAGCACTAATTTAGACCACTGATTTGCTTGGCTAATATGGCCTTAACACCTTTAGTGATGTCAATTCTTGCATTTTTTCTTACATTTAATGATTTTGTTTGTTTTATATAAATCATTGGTAACATTTTGAAAAGTAGTGCTGCTGCTACTGAAGTTCTTGATTTGGTGCAATTTTCATTTAATTTTCTCCAAATCATGCACTACTATAAGAAATTTTAGAAGAAAACCTTATATGATATTGTTTTTATCTTGAAGATTATATTCATTTTAAGATTAGCAGTGTGAATTAGACTGTGATTAAAACCTTAAGGAAATTAACAAAATTTAGATTTTATGATCATTTCAGGCCTATTATGTTATTCTTCTAAACCTAATGCAATATCTCTATTAATCATATATTAGTTTATTCATTAATTGTTATTTACAAAATAGAAAATTTTGTTTCTGTGGTTAGGTGGTCAAATCAACAACTAAGTTAAAAGATTCCAAAGGAATGTGATTGAACATATTATTGGCTGCTGCTTTGGGTGATTAATGTATCATGCTTGGAAAAACATTGCTTGCTTCTGACATACCATGTGGAATAAAGTCATTCATATATCACAAATATATATGTGTGTGTGTGTGTGTGTGTGTGTTTGTGATGTCTACTAAATATATGTAGCAGGGTTAGATGTAATATTAAGTAAGGAAAGACTTACTAAGAAGGGTTATTTGAAGAAATATCTGAAGAAGTAGATGCAATGAGGCATGTGGATGTCTGGGGGAGGAATAATCTGGGCAGAGGGAACAGAAAGGGCAAAGGTGCTGAGCATGAGCATGTCCATCCTGTTCCAAAGTCATCAAATAAGCTAATGTGGCTGGGGTAGACTGAGCAAGGGCAGTAGTAGCAGAGGGCAGAGAAACCAAATAGAAGGACTTTGCACTAGTTTAGACCAGAGATGTTTACGCCTTTGACCATGGCCTAAATGGAGGTAGTGAGAAGTGTATAGATTAAGGGAATGTTGTGAATATAAACCTAGTAGAGTTAGCTGACATTGACTTGGGCTATGAGAGAAAAATATGCATCAAATATGATTCTGGTTTTTTGTCCTGATCAACTAGATGGTCAGAGTTGCTCTCACTGAGATATAGACATTCTCATAACATTCTGTTAGGAGTAGATTTTGGGGGAAACATTGGAAGTTCAGTTTGGGAGATTTGTTAAATTTGGGATGCCTGTGAGATATGCAAGTAGATATGTCAAGTAGATAATTGGAATTACAAGTCTAGGGTTCAAGGTAGAGGTATCTAATGGAGCTATAAATTTGGAAATAATTTATAGATAGAATTTAAAAATACAAGGTTAGCTGAGATTACCTAGACAGTATAAAGAGGAAGAAAGTAAAAGGTCTGAGATCATGGCTGCTCCAATGTTTAGATGTTAGAGAGGTAAGGAGGACCAGCAAAGGAGACAAAAAGCATGACCACTGACATCAGCTGAACCAAATATCAGATGTACCATTAAATAGGATGTACAATTAAAATAATATATACAAAATAATAATATTAAATGATTTATTGCTAATAAATTAATAAGAAGACCAATAATTGACCATTGAATTCAACAACATGGAGATCTTTTGTAACATTATGAAGATGAAAGCCTGATTGAGACAAACTCAAGGTGGAGTAGGAGGAGGGGGCAAATACTGATAAGTATTTCAAGGAGTTTTGCTATAAAAGTGAGCAGATATTAAGGGCTGTAATTAAATGAGGATGTAGGATAAGTATTTGTGTTTGTGTGTGTGTGTGTTTTAAGATGGTGCAAGTATCATCTGTTTGTGGATTTAAAAATGTAGCTAAAAGGAAATAATTATGTTTGTGGGAAAAGTAGAAGAAAATTGCCAGAGTGATGTGATATACTTTGGCTACATGGCACAAGCATGCATGGGATAAACTGGATTTAACCAGAATTGAGCTTTAGCTTGGCACAATAAAAGCCTTTAGAATATATGCGAGTGATATTAATGAAGAAACATGGAATCTAACTGGAAAATAAGTGAAATGAGGAAATGACAGGGATGGGTTTGTATAGTTGGAGTACTAATAAAGCCTGGAAACATGAGAATTATGGACAGAAATGGAGTTTGTGAATCTGATTAAGGAAGGGGTGCAGATATTGTTAATGAGTGTCTAGAGTACAACCTGGGAGTAAGGCTGACTGTATTATTTGTGTTTGCTAACTTTCTTAATATTGTTTTTTTATGTCACAAATTATAATACTGAGCTCCAAACAGGTTTTACCTTTAAAAGTTGTTATTATATTTTTAACCAAGAAGGTAAGTACTAATTCCAAGTAGTACACAACAGATTTAAACATTTGTTTCTGTCCTAGGGCCATTTGGAGAATTAACCCAAAAAGTAATTTGCAAATAATCTTGTCCTTCTATTGTTTGGCCAGCTGTTTGTACTCAGAAAGTAAATGAAATGCCAAAAATGTTTACATAATGAAACCTGAATTACTGAGTTCCACTTCCCAAGAGTTAAGTAATATTAATTCCAAATAAGACCATTTGATTCTCTTCTGGAACTATATCTAAGGCTGGGTCCTTTCTTTACTGTCATGTGTTACTGCTTTAAATCGAAGCAGTCATTTATTTTTAGAAATTGTATCTAAATTATCAGGTTTTGATGTTTTGCTACTTACTATTCCATCACATCAAAATTAATAACAATAATAAGAAAATAAATATTTGTTTTCACACAAATGTAATGAAATAAAACTTCTAAAGTATTTTGTAGTTTCATTTAATAGTTACGGATTAAAGTTGCATAATCTTTATTTTTCAGATTGGTAAACAAACATGGATGAGGTTAGGATGTTTGAGAACTAGCCAGGGTTAGAGATTATATTCAGTTCTCCTGAGCTTTGGTTTAGTAATATTATGTTCAAGCTATTGTCTACACACTGATTTCCTCAGAGACATTTTTGAATTTATTTAGACTTTAGAAGCAATTGGACTAACCTGGAAATTAAATTTCATGTCTGTATTTCCTTCAACTCAGTAAAATAAGATGATCTTGGAACTTAATCTCAATAATAATTCAAGTAAGAGAATTACTCAACTAGGTATGTAGTTAGCACCCTGGGTGGTAAAATTTTACTAAGTTAAAGATGTCAAACATAAAGTTCAAGAGTTATACTTCATCAATTCTTTTTGTCTTCAGCAGAGAGGATTTATCTGTCTTACTATTCTTTTTTGCTGAACCTAGCCTCAGCCTCAGATTCTGCCTCCAGACAGCATTCTAGACAGCCAATACAAGTAGATAAACATTGGCATACAAGAAAAAAAACCCCACCTATTTTCCATTCAGGCTCTGAGAATCACATATTTGAAAGAATTAAGGTAACATCACCAAATGTTCCCCTTATAACCAAAGAATAGTACGGACACTAAAAAATTTTGGCTAAATATACATAGATCTATGCTTAAATTAGACAGTAATTATTGCCATTTATTAGGCATGAGCTCGGAAAAATGTATAGAATATATAATGTTAACAAAATAGACAGCATCTTTCCTCAGGGGATACACAATATTCTAATGGATGATGGGTAGGTAGAAGTTTGGACAAACATTAAGAAATTAAATTGCAGCTATGAACTGTGAACATTTCCATGAAGAAATGTAGCATGTCATGAGAGTAAAAGAGGGGAGCTTCATGTGGGTGGAGTCCGAGAAGGTCTCAGTGTAGAAGGCCTCAAGTGATATTAAAACTGAGAATTTAGGGTGAATGGGTATTAACCATGGCAAGATGACAGTGTGCTTGCATGTGTGTGGTTGGGGTTCGTGGGTTTAAATGAAGAGAGCATTCCTTCTCAGAGCCTCAGAAAGGAACATGCTTGGCATGTTTTAGGAACAGAAGAGAGGTCAGTGTGAGTAGAAACTCCAAGTAAAATAAAATCCTGTGAAAGAATGTTAATAATCTACTTATGAAGCAAACTAAAATGTGACATGATTTTGAATTATTGATGGAGTATAATAAATGATGCTCCATTTGACCTTTATGTTGCTTAAGTAATGTAAGAGGAAGAGAAACTGCAGTTCTTTGAATGCTGTAAGGTGAGCAAGTGGAGACAGCTTGTAGAAACAACTCTTTTGAAAATCTTGTCCATAAAAATGATTTAGCTAGAAATCTGCAGTATAAGTAGCAAGAATTTTAGTAAGCTTAATTGTAAAGGAGGATTTGTAGAAGGATTCTGTGGGCTCCTAGGGCTGGGATTCGTATTAGGAATAGATTGGAATTGGCAGTTGGAACTTGTATGTATCCCACAAATAACTTTGTCTTTCTTGCACCTCTCTCTTTCTCTCTCTCTCTTTATATAATATACAAAAATACGAACTATATCTATAAATATATATTTAAATATATTATATATAGATCTGTATATTTATATATATTTAAATATCTATATATAGAAATATAGATACTTATTTTTGTGACAGAGTCACACTTTGTCACTCAGACTGGAATTCAGTGGCACAATCTCGGCTCACTGCAACCTCCACCTCCCATGTTCAATTGATTCTCATACCTCAGCCTCCCGAGTGGCTGGGATTCCGGGCATGCACCATGACACGTGGCTAATTTTTTGGTAATTTTTTTTAGTAGAGATAGGGTTTCATCATGTTGGCCAAGCTGGTCTTGAACTCCTGGCCTCAAGTGATCCTTCTGCCTCCCAAAGTGCTGGGATTACAGGCATGAGCCACTGTGCCCTGCCTCTTGCACCTCTGTATTTCATCCTAAATCTACCTCTGCTGTGTTTTCCTTCTCTTAGCACTGTTTGGGTGAGATCACATCTGATATAGTTTGGACATTTGTCCCTACGCAAATCTTATGCTGAATTGTAATCCCCGGTGCTGGAGGTGGGTCCTGGTGGGAGGTGTTTGGATCATGCGGCAGATCCTTCCTCACTTGGTGCTGTCGTTGTGGTAGTGAGATCTTGAGAAATTTGGTCATTTAAAAGGGTGTGGCACCTGCCCCTCACTCCTTCTGTCTTGTTCCTGCTTTCACCATGTGATGCACCTGCTCCCCCTTTACCTTCTGCAATGATTGCAAACTCCTTGAGGCCTCCCCAGAAGCTGAGCAGAGGTGGGCACCATGCTTCCTGTACAGCCTGCAGAACGATGAGCCAATCAAACTTCTTTTCTTTATACATTACCCAGTCTCAGGTATTGCTTTATATAAATGCAAGAACAACCTAATACAATATCTCAATCCAGAAAATGTGTTGTTGCCTTTTGAATGCAAAGTCACATTTTTTAAAATGACATAATTACACTGCCTATAATTTACATTTGAAATGTTCATATGGAAGTAAAATAGTGAAGGAGCATATATTCAACTCAGTCATATAAAATTTAGAAAACAATTGATTATCAGTAATAACTATTTGGTTGATATTTAAATATGTTCAAATGTAGAAGTATAAATTAAAACAGATTCAAGATGTTTGTAGACAAAATAGTGCTCCTCCAAAATGTATATAGTGGAGCCCTAACCCCCAAAATTACTGAATTTAGAGAAGGGACATGTAGGGAGGTAATTAGGATTAAACAAGGTCATAAGGTTCAGCCCTAATGCCATAGGGTTGGTGTCCTTAGAAGAATAGATACCAGAGAGCTCTCCACATGAGCTCAGAGGAAAGGCCAGGTGAAGCCACAGTGATAAGGTGCCTATCTACAAGCCAGGAAGAGAGCCCTCACCAGAAACTGAATTTGCCAGCACCTTGATCATGAACTTCTGGCCTCCCGAACTGTGAGAAAATAAATGTCTATTGTATAAGCCAAAAATCCGTGGTATTTTGTTATGGGAGCTGGAGCAGATTAATACAAAGTTATTTATTGAAATCACAAGTTTAAAATTAGTTTTCACAAGGAAAATTACATTTTCATTAAATAGAATATTTTCACTTGTTTCATTCCTTACCAGACACATTTAGTTCTCAACAGATACACTCATTAGAATGAAAAGGCTGATGCCAGGTACAATCACTTTGATAGCTCAACAACCTTAATATACATCTCTAGTAAGCTCATTTTCAGTCTCTATATTGTTCCAAACTTACCAACTGTTTTGAAAATCTTGACCCATCTTTTCTTGAACTCAGATATAAAAATAGACGTCTTTAGATCAATTTGCTTCATGTTTTCCCAACACAAAACTCAAAGCTGCCTACAAAAAGAAAAGGGAGAGATCTCTGACGTAAGATGTGGGAAAACAAAAGAAAGTTAAAAACAATAATAGAGAAACTAAAGGATGTTGAATATTATTGTTCAAAACCACTAGAATCAGTAAAAAAGAGAGAGAGAGAGGATGATGCATGAAAGAAAGAAATAATTGATAGTGTATAGTCTTGGAGAATGTGGGGGAGGATGGGATCCATGGGCACATGTGAAAATTTGGTCTTGGTTACAAGAAGGGTTATTATCTCCTTTGTGTCAGAGGAAGAAAGATAATATGTGTCCAGATGTTACAGAACTCAATTTTGTTTTCTCAGAGGTAGAGGTGACATTTGATAACTTCCTTCATTAAAAATGATCATTCAAGGTTATTTTGTTCATATTAACAATATTGACCTTTGATATTTTAATTGATAATATGAACTGTCTAATTACTTTGCAGGCAAAAAATATAGCTTTTATATAAATTCCTATAGGCTATCTCCATACACTTAGACAAGGATTCAAGTGGGCACTTCAGATAATTAAAACATATCTTTTACCATAAAACACAACCAGGAGTGTCCACATACTTGGCATCTAACAAATTTTCTTTCAAACAAAACATAGAATACCTTAACTTGAGTTTCTTGGTTGGTTCCTTGTGCGGATTTGTTTACTATTTATCCCTTGTCAAATTTTTGATCAAACAATATGTCAACTTTTAATTGTTCTTAAATTAAGGCCTTGAGATGCTTTATCTCTAGATCCTCTTTCTCTCTACTGATTTCAGCCCTACCTCATAGCATTGCCTTATTTAGTAAAACTTATGTACACACAACATTTCTTTCTTTTCTATTTTCCCAAATTCATTGAACATATGCAAACTATTTAATTGCTTCCATACAGGAATTAAGACTTTCTTCCCCCAATGGCTGTGGAAAAGTAACTCAGCATTTGCTTATTTCACTCCTCCTAATAAGAGTTTCAGAATTTAGCTTTGAGCTTAATATCTGCAGTTTTCCTAAGCCAGTCATTCCTTTGAGATTTAATTTTTAGTTTTCTATTGCTTTTAGTTGTTTCCATGTTATTGTTCCTAGACCTTCGCAAATGCTTTTAGGAAGGAGGTAGGTTATCAATAAACTCATTCATTTTAAATGGTAGCCAATGATTAGTTTATAAATCTATTTCATTAAACTGTTGAAACCCCGTCTCTACTAAAAATACAAAAAATTAGCCGGGCGTAGTGGCGGGCGCCTGTAGTCCCAGCTACTTGGGAGGCTGAGGCAGGAGAATGGCGTGAACCCGGGAGGCGGAGCTTGCAGCGAGCCGAGATCCCGCCACTGCACTCCAGCCTGGGCGACAGAGCGAGACTCCGTCTCAAAAAAAAAAAAAAAAAAACAACAACAAAACAAACAAACAAAAAAAAACTGTTGTCTTAATATTACTGGCATAAGGTATTAGGTTAAGATTGAATATTATCAATAACATGTACTGAAGAGTAAGGCCATATTAGCAAATTTTATAAATGGGGGTTTGTTTAAAATACAACTTCAAAGTAATAAGGCATATTTTGAAAAACCAATAAATTGCTCACAATAGTTTCAAAATAATCTGTGTGCAGTAATGTATTCAAAAATACCTTTGTGCTTGTGCAACAATTTATGTTGCCTTGAATCATATGGAGGGAGGACATTGAAACCTTGCTTATTTTAGCAACCTTTGTTTTCAACCTGACCAGCAGAGGTGTTTTTAATATTCTGTTACAGTATAAACAGCAAAAGCTTATTTAGTTGATATATTTTCTGTTCAGAGCTTCCTTTTGATTTAGTACTAAAAGATTATTCTGAATATAGATTAGAATGTGCAATACATAATTTTAGCTTATCTCTGGATTTAATTCCTTTAATGGCTTCCTATTCTAGTACTTAACAGAGTGCCAGTCTCTCCCAGCTTCTCTATCACCTCCTATTGATTCCCTGATTGATTCATGTTGATAAACCATATCATGGAGAGTTCATGCAAATGTGATCTGTATCTTTTTTTTAAATCTATCTTCTTAAAAAGATGATAAATGTCAAGTTTTGAAGATGGACTACAAAGAAAAGCAAGTGATTTACTGAGAACAGGGGAAAAAGTTATTTTAATCAGTACATTAAAATAGAAAGTTTTGTTTAACAGGTAGTTTTAAAAACATCTTGAAAAGGTAAGGTATGAAGTTAAGATTTCTTATTTATAGTAAGCTGTAGAGTAAAATCATAATTTAAAATATCCCTTATACCAAACTATAGTTCAGTAAAAGCAGTATATATTTTTGTAATGATTGAAGATGAAATGCTAGCTAATATCAAAAGCAGAACAAAAAAAACTGATCGATTAATTGAATTTCCTCTTTTTCTCTTACTAATTAATTCCCTAAGTTGTAGTTCATAAATAAATAATTACAGTAATTTATTTTAAAATGTACTAATAGATAAAATATTTTTATTTTATTAGAATGTATTAGAATATTCATGGGGCCTTCATTTTATTTATAATTTTATTTATATGTAAAACAGACACAAAGATTCATTTTTATAGCTCTTGAGCAACATTCTAATTAAGTGGCTTACTACATTTCAATGAATAAATAAACAGGCTTTGGAATTTGAATAATAAATGAAAAAATTTATTTTATGAATTAACTCTAACTGCTTTTTAAAAATTCATGTAATTATTGGTTTACCTGGCTAGTTATTACTTAAAAGTGTTATCAATAATTAATTGATGAATTAGTTACCTTGGAAGATAAGACTTTATACATGACTCATGGCCATAAACTGTACCTTCAATTTTGGATATGCCACAACTGTCTACTGATGGATAGTAATACAGAATCCATTAGTAGACAGATTTAGAGGATAGATTTCGAGAGGATGCCACTTGCCTTAAAAAACAAAAACACTGTACTTAATGCTTTCATGTTCAGGCAATTTGGATGCACTACTTCATTTAATACTCAGACCAATTTTTAGTCACATTTTCAGATGGGGAACTAGGACTTAAAGAGGTTAAGTAGTTATTGAAGTTTCCATGACTAATACAAAAGTGATGCTTGGATTAGAATTTAGGTTTATTTGATTCTTTAGGGCATAAACTTTTCTTATGCCACCTTCCCTCTTCAAAAGAAAGGAAAAGGCTATTCTCACATTGACGTTTGTGAAAGATACATCGATCAGATTCCTTCATGATACCTCAAAATCACAAACATGAAGAAATTGTAAAAGCTTTTCATGTGTATTACTCTTCCATTGAGAATCATTGATAACTGCACATTTTTACAGCATAAAATTATCATCTTTTCCATTTTGATTCCAGTTTTCTGTCTGAATTGAGGATAAATAAATTGATGGACAATTGTGCACTAGTTGGAAGACTGGACAAGTTTTGCAAACCACTTTTGCTTTTGTGTGTGTGTGCAGAGTACATAGTAAAATAATAAACATAATTCAGTGTCATTGAAAATTCCAGTTTTTTATTTATCTCAAACTTCTGATTTAAGTCTAATAATTAATTAGCCCTCTTCCTCATTCTCTTTATTACCCTCACAAGTACTAGCAGTTGGCTTCTGCTTGTTGAATTATTTACTTTGTGGGAGAGGGTTCTTTTCCACATATAAACATCAAACATGTGAGTTACAGCCAAGAGCACATGAAGCCACAGGAGCATTTGGTTTAGGGCACTGAAAGCTGAGACGTGGCAACTTATGCCATGGACAAACTGAAAATTATTTGACATCGTGGACTTTCAGGTCACTTATAAGTACTCAATATAGTAAATTTTAAAGCTCTGACAACCAAGGGTCTACCCTAGGATGTAATGAATGGCAACACAGATGGCCATTTGTACTCCATGATTATTTGAGTTTGAAAATTTTACAAATATTTACAAGTAACTATTCAAGTATTGAACTGCTCTGAAATCTGATAAACAATAGAGAAACAGTTTTAACATTGATTCAATTCTAATCAAGATATTAAGAATATTCTTTAGGAAAGTATTAGTATTCATGCCTGATTTATTCAATGATTGATTATACTTTGAACTTCCTGTACTAAATTTGTGTTTTACATTTTGAGAATTTAAAAATTAAAACATGTGCACATACACACACACACAAGTCCCACTGAGAATTAACAATTGAATCAGCTTATTTATATCTATATATTTACAGGTAAACTATAGTTTATTTTTAAAATAAGAGCAAACTTCAGTTAAATTATCAAAGACACATGTAGAGATAAATGTGTATAGGTATATATATATGTATATACACATATATCTCTACATTTCAAGGGCTATCTATATCTATATCCATATATATCTATGGATATAGATATAGATAGCCCTTGAAAATACATATCCCTTCAAAATATTCACTTGCTTCTCCAATATTGGAGTGCAGCATAGTGTATCATTTTTGAGATAATACTTATTAAAAAGGCCAATCCCTCCAGTTGCATGTAACTGTCATGGGTTTAGTTTCCAACAGAGTATACTAAAAAGTGTAGCAAAGACTTTATTTAACAAAATAAAACCATATAGCCACATTCACTGTTCCTGATTTATCGCCATTATTTCTGACTTGGAATATCCCTCCCTTGACATGCTGTTTTATGCCTTGTGATTCAGAATGCCCTTTTATAGCATGTTGCAGTACTTCAGAAAGGAAAAGGCCCAGCTTCCTAACATTGCCATAAATCAGGGAGCCTATAGCTGTAGCAATACTTGCAAGGTTACCCAACTCCTGAGTTTCTGATAAATTTTCTCTTATCAGTGAAGATAGATGCGGTTACAATTCTGTTCTGGAGGGCTCAGGTGTAACAATGGCTTGTAGGTCATTTTCTTAAGTGAAAGAGAAAAAAATGCTGCCTTTTCTGGCTATTTTAACTTTTATCTTAGAAATAATCATTTCCCTCATCTAGCTTTTCAGTTTCACTTCTCACACATACACACATTAACTTGCCATGCCAGAAACCTTTGTTCCTCTTTTTTAGACACCTAGCCTATTTGCTGTACCCAGAGTGCGTTACTCTAAATTTGCTTTAATCATTTTCTCTTATGCAAAGACTCAGAATAACTTATGATGTGTTGTCTTCCCTGGACATTGCTTTTTAAGAAAGAACAAATATAAAAATTCTAATAGTGACATTTCAGGCAATGTGACAGGCAACTGAAGGCATAGTTTTGGTCATGAGCTTCTTCTTGTCCCCATAGTACACCAGATGAGAGGTTGTGTAAATATTCAAGGCTGACTTGATGCAGTTCATTTCTCAAGAGAAGGATATTATAGTGTCACAGATATTCCTGTTACTTTTCTGGCCCTGCCATATTATACTTCCTTTCTATTTACCTTGCTTCTTTTTGATGTATACATTGAACACATTTTGTTGACATTTATTTCTGTTTATCGATTTTTCCAAAAATTAAAATTTGTCACTGCTGAAATTTCTCCCTTGCTTTTTTTTCTATGGGAAGAGTATAATACATCTATATCAATGCTTGAAAACTACAACAAAGTGACCATCACTTTGTATCTAGGAGATGTGGCCTGTGTTGGCAAAATACAGAAAGAAAGAGGAAGTCTCCCAAAACTCTGAAGCTGCATTAAAGGAACTAGAATACTCATATTAAATAAATGACATTTTCAGATTCTCAGTAACAGTACAATTTTGAAAATAGCATATATTAATGAATTGTACTATTTCATTGTAAGATAACAAGGAAACTAAAAATAGAATATATGAAGAAAATGAACATAACAATATCTCTATTTATTACTTGTTCATTTTTTTTTGCCAGACATGATGCTATGGAACTTTAATTATTTATCTAGTGAAATTTCACTCAGCGACCCTGTAAGAAGGTGTCATTGTTATTCCCTTTCACAAATGAGGAAACTGAGCTTAAAGATATTTGGTAATACAAACAAGGTTACCCAGCTGGGAGTAAGAAGGGCCACGATTTAAACCCGAGGCTTCTTGACTTGCAGTGTCTAATTATGCTGCACTAAGCCATGGCTCTATATGAACTCCATTTAGAAAGCATGTCAAAATTAAGATCAGAAGCACCATTGGTCTCTAGTAGATTAAAAGTTTTCTTAGCAAATGAACACCGAAAATCACAATTAAAGTCCACTTTTTTCCTTTCAACTAATTCAGAGTATGGCTAATAGAAAATGTGTAAATCCAAGGAGTATTGGCAGAATACACCAACAACGTCTAAAGCCTCAAAAACTTGCATTTGTTAGAAATACTCTGTTTGGTAATCTTTCTCACATAGTTTTTCTCAGTGATTTAGGTAATTCCACTTTTTTTAAAAATTATACTTTAAGTTCTAGGGTACATGTGCACAATGTGCAGGTTTGTTACATATGTATACATGTGCCATGTTGGTGTGCTGCACCCATTAACTCGTCATTTACATTAGGTATATCTCCTAAGGCTATCCCTCCCTCCTCCCCCGACCCCATGACAGGCCCCGGTGTATGATGTTCCCCTTCCTGTGTCCAAGTGTTCTCATTGTTCAATTCCCACCTGTGAGTGAGAACATGCAGTGTTTGGTTTTTTGTGCTTGTGATAGTTTGCTGAGAATGATGGTTTCCAGCTTCATCCATGTCCCTACAAAGGATATGAACTCATCCTTTTTCCACTTTTTGATTAACACAGAAATCCAACAACTACATTTAACATTGTTTGAAATTTTAGAATAAATTTAATATAATATAAATATAGACCCTAGCAATGAAATAAGATACCCATTGGTTTCTAACGATACTGGCCTTTTCTGCACTACTCCAGATTCTGATATGCAACCCCATTGCTGGGGCAATGTCCATGTAACATACACACAAAGTGCCACTGCAGCACCTGTCTTGCCATGGACATAGTAGCGATTTATTTAGCATAGGAATTCTAGGAAACCTGTTTACTTTGCAACAATAGAGAGAAATTTCCCAAATGTCCCTGAGGTCTCAGAGAAATAGATTGTATCAAACCAGAAAATAAGAATATGATGGAAGAATAGAAAAGATCAACATAAAAATGTGAAGGAAGCCAGAGAACATTAGTGGCATAAGAGTGAGGAGAGAACATTTGGAAGTTTAAACTGTGATAACTCTTATGTATTTATTAGTCCAGCTTTTTGGACTTTTAGATCACACACATTGTCAGTTAATTGTAGTGTTGTGTATTGTAACCCTTGCCCATAAAGATTAGGAAGATTAGCAAAGTGTAAAAATCAAGGTTCCAGAACAATACACATGACAAGATCTCATTTTTGTAAAAGAAATGTATTAATGTGAATGTATTTTTTATATTTATATTAGAGCATGGGGAAAAGACTGGTAATAGTGAGAAAGAATTAGAACAGATGGAGGTAGCAGAATAATGTCATGTTTTGGCATGTGTATTACTTGAATATTTTACAAATAGGGTGGATTCATGTATTTCTCATATAATTAAGAAAAGATGACAGTGAATTCATAAAAAAGCAAGTCCAAGTTATGAATTTCTTTATAAACTTATTAAAGTCATTCTCCACCAATCATTTGGTTAAGATAAAAACAACAACAAAACTAATTTATAAAGGAGAGTTATAACACAGCTTGTTCTTAAATCAGATTAAACCAAATCTTAGAGTTTAAAAAAATTCATGACTTCTTTTTTTCTTTTCTTTTTTTTCCTTCTTCCTCTTTTGTGCTCTCTTCCTTCATCCTCCTTTTTCTCTCCTTCCTTTATCTTTTTCCTCCTTTCTGTCTCTTTCTTTTTTTCTTCAGAGATCTATTGTTCTGGTAAATTACCAGCAAAAACAAAAAGGGGAAGAAAAATTAATGAGTAGCCTGAAGGTCATCCTCAGAAAGTATGACTCATTATATACCTGTAACCTCAATGAAGATAGGAAGAAGATAACCTATGCATTTAATTACTCCATCATTCATTCTAGGTTTTGATAGTACATAGACAAAGTACTTGAGGAGTAACTGAAAGACTTTATATTGTCCCTCTGGATGGTTTTGTAATGCTTTACAACATATTCTATATAGTGGGCTTTCATAATATGTGCAGTTTTTTAAAAAATTCACCCATCTACCCACTGAAATATGTATATTTTGGAGGACAAATGTTTTCTCATGCAGACATTTACTTATTTAGTAGACATATTTGTAGTTATTATATACAGACTGTATTAGGAGCTTATTCTATGTCATTACTGATTGTTTCAACAACCTTGAATGGCTGGTATTTAAATCTTATTTTATATTTAAGGAAACTGAGGCAAATATGAAATTACTCTAGCCTAAGATCCAGGATTCAAACCGAGATTGTTCTGTCTCCACAGCCCATTTTTCTCTACTATAAAATCCTAGTTCCTAGTGTTCAGAAAAACCAGCTGTTTTATCACTTTCTTAGAAACCCACTAAATATCTTTTAAAATTCAGGATTTTCCATAGAAAATATATTACAGTTTTTGTGTCTGCTGTAATATGCTGTATGGCTTACTTACTTTTGCCTTAAAATAAATTAATAAACCTGATGGTGATTCAGTATAACCCAAAAGAACAGTAGAAGCGGTAGGGATTGAGGGGATGGGGGAAGGGTGTTTGTATTTTGGCTTTGTTATTCTACAGGGAGAACAGCTCAGATCAAGTGTGATGTAGTTTTCATCAGAATGAAAATAACCTGTGCATTCTGGAGTGCATGTTAATAGAAGGGTATGCTGAGAGACCTGTCAGCTTCTTTTAATGAAGCAGCAACAATAATGCAGCAGTGCATAGAGGCCTTAGACAGTTCAGGAGAGATAAACAGAGCCACATACCAATGTGAATGGAAATTGTGAATAGAAAAGGTAACGTATTATAAGCCCTACATCCCTTTCCTACTTAAAAACATTCTATTCAGCAAAGCTATGGATGACTTTGTCACCTGCCATTATAGTTATTCAAGTTGATTTGAGTTACAATTGTTATAGCTCTCTGATTGTACACTTTTACATTAGAATGACTTAGGAAAAACAAGGCTATAAACAATTAAAGATTTAAAAAATAAAATTCTTAAAATTTTAAAAATAGGTTTCGAGAGTACACATGCAGATTTATTATGTGACTATATTGTATAGTGGTAAAGTTGGGCTTTTAATGTACCCATCACCTAAATAGTGAACATTGTACCCAATATATCATTTTTCAGTCCTTACTCTCCTCCCACCTTTTGGAGTCTCCAACATCTATTTGTCCACTCTGCATATCCATATGTACCTATTGTTTAGCTCCCACTTTTAAGTGAGAATATGTGGTATTTTGACCCTGTTTTGGATTATTTCACTCAGGAGAATGGTCTCCAGTTTCATCCATGTTGCTGCAAAAGACATGATTTTATTATTTTCTATGGCTGAGGAGCATCCATGGTATATATATGCTACATTTTCATTATTCAGTCATCTGCAGACGGACACTTAGGTTGATTTAATGACTGTTGTGAATAGTGCTGTGATAAACATACAAGTGCAGGTGTGTTTTTAATATAATGATTTCTTTTCCTTTGGGTAGATACCCAGTAGTGGGATTGCTGGGTTGAATGGTAGTTCTATTTATAGTTCCTTAAGAAATTTCCATACTGTTTTCCATAGAGGTTTTACTAATTTACATTTCCACCAACAGCATATAAGCATTCCCTTTTCTCTGCATCCTTGCCAACATCTGTTATTTGACTTTTAATATAAGATGATGTCTTGTTGTGGTTTTAATTTGCATTTTTCTAATGATTCATGATGTTGAGCATTTTTTCATATGTTTTTGGCCACTTAGATGTCTTCTATTGAAACATGTTTGCACACTTTTTAATGGGATTTTTTTTTTCTTGTTGAGTTGTTTGAGTTCCTTGTATGTTCTGGATATTAGCCCTTTGTCATATGCATAGTTTGAAAATATTTTCTCCCATTCTGTATCTTGTCTGTTGATTATTTCTTTTGCTATGAAGAAGATTTTTAGTTTAATTAAGTCCCATTTGTCCACTTTTGTTTGTGTTGCATTTGCACTGAAGACCTAGTCATAAATTCTTTCCCTAGGCCAATGTCCAGAGGAGTTTTTCCTAGGCTTTCTTCTAGAATCTTTATAGTTTCAGGTCTCACATTTAAGTCTTTAATCCATCTTGAGTTGACTTTTATATATGATGAGAGATACAGGTCTAGTTTCATTCTTCTCCATATGGCTATCTAATTTTCCTAGCACCATTTATTGAATAAGGTCTCTTTCATTTATAGAATTGTAATAATAAAAGTAAAATATCACAGTGCTTTAAATGAAGGCCTATGTTATGAATGAGCATGAAATAAACACTAAATTATGCACATCATTTACTTTAATCAAATAAGCTGAAGATTTTGCCAGAGATGGGATAGCATGGTGGAAGAGAAAGCTTTGTTATATTATTTTTTAATCTAGTTATGTTTTTAATACAATGATTTGGAATCCAGTATATCTACCAGAATTACTTTTCCAAATTTCACTTGTTCAGATCTACTGAATCAGAATATATGTGGGTGTATTGGGAGAGCCTGTAGTTAATTCTGATACCTACCTGTGATATGAAGACCAATGTTTTGATCTAAGAAGGAAATTGTTAATTTCCTTGCACACAAATATACAAATACACACATACATATTACACACACACACACACCATATCATACTATATGCCTGATTCTTAAAGAGCCTCTCAGTATATATTTTTCAAATGAACAGAAATTCTCAAAGAGCAGTAGTGGGAGTAATGGGAATCAGTGGTCCAGTTATCATATTATCCCTGATTAGAGAAATAGGGCCTAAACACTTTCTTTGTAGATAGTGTTGAGAGACTGCAAGCCTTGGGAATACAAGCAGGGAGGTACTGAGAAGGCCAAATGGTAAAGCTAGTCTTATTAATGGTGGAGACTGGGAAGGTTGAGATTAAGCCTCTATTAGTCTCTCTCTCTCTCTCTCTTTTTAAAACGAGTCTTGCCTATGGACTTCCAGGCCCTGCTAATTGGTGCTGATCAACAATTTTTTTCTTTTTCCTTAATTTTGTGGTTGAATCCTAGGTTCATGTTGTAGCTTTATCATGGTTACAGCTTCCCAGATGATTAAAAACTGGTTTGGTTTTCACCATTCTTCCCTGTTATGACATTGTATGTAAAAATAAGTTGTCACTATTTTATCTGCTTCATTTACTAATGCATTTTAAGTACTTATAGGAGTGTTTGGTGCATAGTCGGAACTCAAGAAATATTTCATTTAAAGAGTAAAAATAAACACTTCATGTATTTATGGAGATTTTAATTCAGAGGTTTATTCTTCAATTTATATTTTGTGGAACATTGTATATTCTATTAAGGCTTCAGTGCATTCTTTCAACAACTGCAGCTGGAAAAGGCAGTCACTATCCTAGCTATTTTACAGAATAGAAAATCAAAACATACAGAGAAAAGAATTCTCCCCTTGTTTTACAAAATCATATAAGTTTAGGATTGAAAAGACCTTATGTATCATCTGGTGAAGGGGTAGGTTGCCCCTCCACACCTGTGGGTGTTTCTCGTTAGGTGGAATGAGAGACTTGGAAAAGAAAGAGACACAAAGTATAGAGAAAGAAAAAGGGGGCCCAGGGGACCGGCGTTCAGCATACAGAGGATCCACACCGGCCTCTGAGTTCCCTTAGTATTTATTGATCATTATTGGGTGTTTCTCAGAGAGGGGGATGTGGCAGGATCATAGGATAATAGTGGAGAGAAGGACAGCAGGTAAACACATGAACAAATGTCTCTGCATCATAAACAAGGTAAAGAAAAAAGTGCTGTGCTTTTGATGTGCATATACATAAACATCTCAATGACTTAAGGAGCAGTATTGCTGCCAGCATGTCCCACCTCCAGCCCTAAGGCAGTTTTCCCCTATCTCAGTAGATGGAATATACGTCGGCTTTACACCGAGGCATTCCATTGCCCAGGGACCAGCAGGAGACAGAAGCCTTCCTTTTATCTCAACTGCAAAGAGGTGTTCCTTTCTCTTTTACTAATCCTCCTCAGCACAGACCCTTTACAGGTGTCGGGCTGGGGGACGGTCAGGTCTTTCCCTTCCCATGAGGCCATATTTCATACTATCACATGGGGAGAAACCTTGGACAATATCTGGCTTTCTTAGGCAGAGGTCCCTGCGGCCTTCCGCAGTGTTTTGTGTCTCTGCGTACTTGAGATTAGGGACTGGTTTGAGATTAGGGAGTGGTGATGACTCTTAACAAGCATGCTGCCTTCAAGCATTTGTTTAACAAAGCACACCTGCACAGCCCTCAATCCATTTAACCCTGAGTTGACACAGCACATGTTTCAGGGAGCACAGGATTGGGGGTAGGGTTACAGATTAACAGTATCTCAAGGCAGAATAATTTTTTTTTAGTACAGAACAAAATGGAGTCTCCTATGTCTACTTCTTTCTACACAGACACAGTAACAATCTGATCTTTCTTTTCCCCCACAATCTGGTTTTAATATATAGCGTTTCCAACAAGCTGCTTATGCTTGAATTCTTTCCATGCTGAAGAAAGCCCTACCCCCTAAAACACTTTCATCTACCCTCTCACAGCTTCCTCATAGGTTTATGCTTTTATGTCTGTCTATGGAATCATCATTTATATGATTGACTGTCAGCATTTAGAAAAAAAGCCATATACCATCTGAGATTCTCTTGTCCTGGCTAAACTCTCTGGCTCCTTCAGTCATTCTTCATGAGATACGATTTTGAGATTGTTTAATCACTTCTTCA
This sequence comes from Homo sapiens, assembly GCF_000001405.40. NCBI lineage: Eukaryota > Metazoa > Chordata > Mammalia > Primates > Hominidae > Homo > Homo sapiens. The sequence continues at coordinate 120,931,151 of NC_000006.12, read as the reverse complement.
CTTTCTCATGCACATGTTTCCATCTGTCTAGTCTCTTCAATAATTGTACTCATAGCTTGAAAACAACTACTACTTATAGGTTCCAATTAAGTTCCACATAATTTATCCACACTATGTTATTTAATCTTTTCAATAACTCAGTCAAATTGCTTTAGTGAAGACTCTTTGGTTGGAGGAACAAAAATCCATCAGAATTAGCTTAAACACAATAAACCCAGAGGGATTTCATGGCATGGATTCTAAAATATAGTGGGAACTTTGGAAACATGGTAAGTCATCTGACTGTGTTAAGTTTCATGTGCATCCGTGTGAAGAGACCAGCAAACAGGCTTTGTGTGAGCAGCATGGCTGTTTATTTCACCTGGGTGCAGGTGGGCTGAGTCCGAAAAGAGAGTTAGGGAAGGGAGATAAGGGTGGGGCCATTTTATAGGATTTGGGTAGATAAAGGAAAATTACAGTCAAAGGGGAGTTGTTCTCTGGCGGGCAGAGTGGGGGAGCTTTTGAGCCAGGATGAGCCAGGAGAAGGAATTTCACAAGACAATGTCATCAGTTAAGGCAGGAACAGGCCATTTTCACTTCTTTTGTGGTGGAATGTCATCAGTTAAGGCAGGAATCGGCCATCTGGATGTGTATGTGCAGGTCACAGGGGATATGATGGCTTAGCTTGGGCTCAGAGGCCTGACATTCCTGTCTTCTTATATTAATAAGAAAAATAAAATGAAATAGTGTTGAAGTGTTGGGACAGTGAAAATTTTTGGGGGTGGTATGGAGAGATAATGGGCGATGCTTCTCAGGGCTGCTTCAAGCGGGATTGGGGTGGTGTGGGAACCTAGAGTGGGAGAGATTAAGCTGAAGGAAGATTTTGTGGTAAGGAGTGATATTGTGGGGTTGTTAGAAGGAACATTTGTCATTTAGAATTATTGGTGATGGCCTGGATACAGTTTTCTATGAATTGAAAAACTAAATGGAAGAAGAGAAGGAGAAAAACAGGTATAAAAGATCGAAGAATTGGGACGACTCAGGACATCTGATTAGACAGTGCCTAAGGAGATTCAGCATAGTCCTGCCAGCAAAGATTATTTATTTACTTCAAGAGTTAAGAGTGGCAGTTTGGGGATAGAACCAGGAGATATCAGCTGTGATGGCTTGGAGAAACTGTGTAAACTGGCAGTGTAAACAAGAGCAGGGCATGTATGAGTAGTTGAGAACGGTGAATAGGAGTATGACTAGACAGAAGATAGTGGGGATGACAAGTTTTTTTGGGGCACAGTCTAAGGTGGTCTGGTGTCTGGAATGAGACTGGGGCCTAATAAAAAGGAGCGTCTATACAGGAGCTCAAATGGGCTGTACCCTGTAGCATTCCGAGGACAGGCCTGAATTCTGAGAAGCGAAGGTGGTAAAAGGATTGTCCAGTCCTTTTTAAGTTGGTGGCTGAGCTTGGTGAGGTGTGGTTTTAAAAGACCTTTAGTCCGTTCTACTTTTCCTGAAGACTGAGGACTGTAAGGGATATAAAGGTTTCACTGAATACCAAGAGCCTGAAAAACTGCTTGGCTGATTTGACTAATAAAGGCAGGTCTGTTATCAGACTGTATTGAGGTGGGAAGGCTAAACTGAGGAATTATGTCTGACAGAAGGGAAGAAATGACTGCAGTGGCCTTCTCAGACCCTGTAGGAAAGGCCTCTACCTATCCAGTGAAAGTGTCTACCTAGACTAAGAGGTATTTTAGTTATCTGACTCGGGGCATGTTGAGTAAAGCTAATTTGCCAGTCCTGGGTGGGGCAAATCCTCGAGCTTGATGTGTAGGGAAGGGAGGGGGCCTGAATAATCCTTGAGGAGTAGTAGAATAGCAGATGGAACACTGAGAAGTTATTTCCTTGAGGATAGATTTCCACGATGGAGAGGAAATGAGAGGTTCAAAGAGGCGGGCTAGTGGCTTGTACTATAGCATAACCTGCCTTTGCTGGTGTGTGGAGATTAGGCCTGGTGGAACTGCCATCAATAAATCAAGCGTGATCAGGGTGAGGAATAGGAAAGAAGGAAATATGGGGAAATGGGGTGAATGTCAGGTGGATCAGAGAGATACAGTCATGGGGGTCAGGTGTGGTATCAGGAATAATGTGGGAGGCCGGATTGAAGTCCGGGCCAGGCATAATGGTAATTGTGGGACTTAACAAAGAGTGAGTACAGCTGAAGGAGCCGGGGAGCAGAAAGTATATGCGTCAAGTATGAGGAAGAAAATAGATTTGGAAGTTATGAGAAATGTAGGGAGTGAGTTGAGCATAGTTTGTGATTTTTAGGGCCTCTAAAAGTACTAATGCAGCGGCAGCTGCTGCACGCAGACATGAGGGCTAGGCTAAAACAGTAAGGTTAAGTTATTTGGACAGAAAGGCTACAGGGTGTGGTCCTGGCTCTTCTGTAAGAATTCTGACCGCACTAACCATGCCTAGGAAGGAAAGGAGTTGTTGTTTTGTAAGGGATCGAGGTTTGGGAGATTAATTGGACACGATCAGCGGGAGAGCACGTGTGTTTTTATGAGAATTATGCTGAGATAGGTAACAGATGAGGATGAAATTTGTTCTTGACTGAAGTAATGGGGTCTGTCTGTGAAGCCTTGCGGCAGTACATCCCAGGTAATTTGCTGAGCCTAATGGGTGTCAGGGTCAGTCTAGGTGAAAGCGAAGAGGGGCTGGGATGAAGGGTGCAAAGGAATAGTAAAGAAAGCATGTTTGAGATCTAGAACAGAATAATGGGTTGTAGAGGGAGGTACTGAGGATAGGAGAGTATACGGGTTTGGCACCACGGGGTGGATAGGCAAAACAATTTGGTTGATAAGGCGCAGATTCTGAACTAACCTGTAAGCCTTGTCTGGTTTTAGGACAGGTAAAATGGGGGAATTGTAAGGAGAGTTTATAGGCTCTAAAGGGCCATGCTGTAGCAGGCGAGTGATAACAGGCTTTAATCTTTTTAAGGTGTGCTGTGGGATGGGATATTGGCATTGAGGGAAGTAAGGGTGATTAGGTTTTAATGAGATTGTAAGGGGTGTGTGATTGGTCACCAAGGAGGGAATAGAGGTATCTTATACTTGTGGGTTAAGGTGGAGGGATATGAGACGAGGATGTGAAGGAAGCTTTGAACTAGGGAAAAGGTGGCAATGAGGTGTGGCTGTAGCCTAGAAATAGTCAGGGAAGCAGCTAATTTGGTTAAAATATCTCAGCCTAATAAGGGAACTGGGCAGGTGGGGATAATTAAAAAAGAGTGCATAAAAGAGTGTTGTCCAAGTTGGCACCAGAGTGGGGGAGTTTTCAGGGGTTTAAAAGCCTGGCCGTCAATACCCACAACAGTTATGGAGGCAAGGGAAACAGGCCCTTGAAAAGAAGGTAATGTGGAGTGGGTAGCCTCCGTATTGACTAAGGGGACGGACTTAACCTTCCACTGTGAGAGTTACCCGAAGCTCGGCATCCGTGATGGTCTGTGGGGCTTCCGAGGCGATCCGGCAGCGTCAGTCTTCAGCCGCTAAGCCAAGAAGGAGTCAGAGAGCCTTGGGCCAGAGTTCCAGGGGCTCTGGGAGTGGCTGCCAGGTGAGTTGAACGGTCCGATTTCCAGTGGGGTCCTGCACAGATGGGACGTGGCTTAGGAGGAATCCTGGGCTGCAGGCATTCCTTGGCCTGGTGGTCAGATTTCTGACACTTGTAGCAAGCTCCTGTGGGAGGAGGTTCTGGAGGAACGCCTGGCCACTGCGGTTCAGGCATTTGGAAGTTCTTGTGCGCTGGAGATGTGGCTGGGGTTTGTCTCACAGTGGAGGCAAGGAATTGCAACTTGTTTCTATTATTGTACACCTTGAAGGCGAGGTTAATTAAATCCTGTTGTGGGGTTTGAGGGCCGGAATTTAATTTTTGGAGTTTTATTTAATGTCGGGAGCAGATTGGATAATAAAATGTATATTAAGAATAAGGCGGCCTTCTGGCCCCTCTGGGTCTAGGGTGGTAAAGCGTCTAAGGGTTGCCGCTAAGCGGGCCATGAACTGGGCTGGGTTTTCATCTTTACCTCGGGTAGTTTCTTGAAGCTTGTCATAATTAACAGCTTTGTAAGCTGCCTTTTTAAGCCTTTCAACTAGGCAGGAAACCATGTAATCTCGCCTAGCTATACCTGGGGAATTTGCCTGGTAGTTCCTTTGGGGATCTTCTTGGGGAACTGCTCTAATGCCTTCCTGGAGGTCTGGCTCATGAAGCCAGCGGTTATCAGCGTGAGATTGGGCTAGGGAAAAAACTCTTTCCTGTTCATCTGGGGAGAGGGTAGAAGTCAGGATGATATTTAAGTCACTCCAGGTTAAATTGCAGGACAGAGTTAGATATTGGAATTCCTGTACATATTTAGTGGGGTCTGATGAGAAAGAGCCTAAACACTGACTGATCTGAGAGAGGTCTGATAGAGAAAAAGGTACATGTACCCTGACTATGCCTTCAGCTCCAGCCACCTCTCTAAGAGGAAATTGTTGGGCAGGTGGGGAAGAACTAGTCACGGAACTAAGCTGTAAGCCGGACCGGGTGTGAGGAGGGTAGGTGGTAGAAGGATCATAGGGTGGAGGAGCGGAGGCTGAGGAGGAATTGGGACTTAGCTCGGCCTGGCGACGAGCAGCCTGGGGAAGAGAGGAAAGGTCAGATGGGTCTGTAGGAAAGGAAGACTTGAAAGATTCAGTGACACTTGCGGTTGGGACTGAGGGGACAGGCGGGAGGGAAAGAAGGAGGATCTGGGAGGAATCGCATTGGGAACAGAGACTAGGGAGGGAACGAAGTGTGAAAAATGCCTGGACGCAAGGCACCTCAGACTATTTGCCCATTTTTCGACAAATATTATTTAGGTCTTGTAGGAAGGAGAAATCGAAAGTGCCATTTTCTGGCCATTTAGAGCCATTGTCAAGTTTGTATTGGGGCCAAGCGGTGTTGCAGAAGAAAATAAGGTGCTTAGATTTTAGGTCAGGTAAGAGTTGAAGAGATTTTAAGTTCTTAAGAACACAGGCTAAGGGAGAAGAAGGAGGAATGGAGGGTGGAAGGTTGCCTATAGTGAAGGAGGCAAGCCTAGAGAAAAGAGAGAGTAGAGACAGGGAGGGAAGGGGTTCGGGGGTTCTTACCCTCCAGAAAAGTGGGAAAGGGGTCGAGGCACAGAGATATGAGGTCAGGGCACGGAAATAAGGGATCAGGGCGCAGACATATAAGGGGTTGGGGTGCGGAAATTAGGGATCGGGGCACAGAGATATAAGGGGTTGGGGCACGGAATTAAGGGATCGGGGCAGAGAGATATAAGGGGTTGGGGTACTTGCCTCTCCCCTAGAAAAGTGGGACTTGCTGCTAAGGGTGAAGAAGGGGTTGGGGGTTTCTTGCCCCCTAGAAAGGTGAAGAAGTGGTAGAGACAGGGAGAGAAGGGGTTGGGGTACTTGCCCCTTCCCCAGAAAAGCGGGACTTGCCGCTAAGGGTGAAGGACCAAGGCAGGCATCCCTGCGTGGTCTGACACCTCTGAAACTTTGGTGAATAATCAGAGAGGTGTCCCTGCAATGATTAAACACCCAGGGAAGGCTGCCTTCCCTAGTCCGTGACCGGCGCCAGAGTTTTGGGTCCACAGATAAAATGTGTCTCCTTTGTCTCTACCAGAAAATGAAAGGAATTGAAATTAAGAGAAGGGAGAGACTGAAGTGTGGCACCAAGATTGAAAGGAGAAAGAGGTTAAGGGATAGTGAGGGAGGTTGGAGAAGAGAGTAAAAAGAGGCCGCTTACTGGATTTGAAATTGGTGAGATGTTTCTTGGGCTGGTTGGTTTAAGGACCTGAGGTCATATGTGGATCTTTCTCACGGAGCAAAGAGCAGGAGGACAGGGGATTGATCTCCCAAGAGAGGTCCCCCGATCCGAGTCACAGCACCAAATTTCATGCACGTCTGTGTGAAGAGACCACCAAACAGGCTTTGTGTGAGCAACATGGCTGTTTATTTCACCTGGTGCAGGTGGGCTGAGTCTGAAAAGAAAGTCAGGGGAGGGAGATAAGGGTGGGGCCATTTTATAAGATTTGGGTAGATAAAGGAAAATTACAGTCAAAGGGGAGTTTTTCTCTGGCAGGCAGAGTGAGAGTCGCCAGGTACTCAGTGGGGGAGCTTTTGAGCCAGGATGAGCCAGGAGAAGGAATTTCACAAGACAGTGTCATCAGTTAAGGCAGGAACAGGCCATTTTCACTTCTTTTGTGGTGGAATGTCATCAGTTAAGGCAGGAATTGGCCATCTGGATGTGTATGTGCAGGTCACAGGGGATATGATGGCTTAGCTTGGGCTCAGAGGCCTGACAGTAAGTTTGGAGTTACATGGTGAAAAGCTCTGACAAAAGAATAAAAGTATAAATAGTTGAAGAAGGAGGCTTAAATGGACTTGGCAGAATTTATACACTGGCAACTATCACATTTGTTTTAAAGATAAACTCTCAAGGTTTTCTAGAGAAGTGAAATTGCTTTCCTTGATCTACCTAGTCAGCCTGATCAAGGACCTAATGCCTTGACTGACCTCTTTGCTAGCTGGCAGCTAATCAGTTTACCCTAGAAATGTACAAGTGAGATTTTTTTTCACCCATACTGTCTGCGGTTTTTTTCATCCCCCTTTTCACTCTTTGAATCCTGTTTTGCTTTCACTTCCTGAGGCAGTTGTGATCCTTAATTTTGCATGTCGACTTGACTGGGCTACAGGATGCCCAGATAGCTGGTAAAGCATTATTTCTGGGTATGTCTATGAGTGTTTCCAGAAAAGATTACCTTTTGAATCAGTAGATTGCATAAAGAATATCCACCCTCAATTGGATGGGGATCATACAATCCATTGAGGGCCTGAATAGGACAAAAAGAAAACAGAGAAGAAAGGGCAATTTTATTCTTTCTTCTTGAGCTGGGACAGCTATTTTTTCCTCATCTAGAATGTTAGAGCTTCTAGTTCTCAGGGCTTTGGACTTGGACTGATTTATTCCACCAGGTTTCCTGGTTCTCCAGCATGTGGATGGCAGATTATGGGACTTCTTGGTCTTCATAATTGCATGTGCTAATTCCAATGATAAATCTTTTAAATATCTATATGTGACCCACTGGTGCTGTGTCTTAGGAAATCCTGATTAATACAGTAGTCTACCACCTGATTCCTTCAAATGTAAATAATTTGCATAAGAAATTTTTAAGTGTCTCTGAATTACCCTTCAACAATAGTCTCTAGACTCTGAACAGATGTATTTGCATCTGTTTCATTATTTTTTTCAACTCTTATCTTTTTACTTTTTAATTATTTCTACTCCATAACTGCAGTTTACTCATGACATTGGTTTGCCACATTTCATATCTATCTCTAATTTTGTTGGACTTTTCAACTCCACTATTTGATTATAGTCTCTTTGTGTGGTAGGCAGCCTTTAAAATAGTTCTCAATGATTCCTGTCTCCTGGTATTCATGCCCTGTGTAGTCCCCTCCCTTTGAGTGTGGACTGGTCATAGTGATTTACTTCAAACATACAGAATATGGCAAAAGAGGTGGGATATAAAATCCAAGATCGGGTTTTAAAAAAGGTTGTGGATATTGTCTTGTTTGCTCTCTCTCACTCTCTCTTTGGCTCTTCTCATTTATTCACTTTGATGGGGGCAAGCTACCTTCTTGGGATCTGTTTTTTGGAAGAGACCCATGTAGCAAGAAACCAAGGGCAGCCTCCTGCCAGCAGCCAGTAAGAAACTGAAGTACGTAATCTAACAGCTTGTGAGGAACTGAATCCTGCCAACAACCACATAAGTGACCTGAATGTTGATGCTTCTTCAGTTGAGCCTTAGGATGACCGTAGCCACTGCTGAACAGCTTATTATAGTGATAGACTCTGAAGGAATCATACCTGGATTCCTGGCCTGCAGAAATGTGAAATAATAAATCTTGTTGTTTTAAGCCACTATGATTTTAGGTAATTTGTTATGCAGCTTAGATAACTTATACAACTCTACACTCCATATTTTAGATAAAGTTATGTAGACAATCTATTGGCTCTGTTCAATATATGGATCAGCTGCTCACATTGGTCCAGTCAATTATAAGTGATGAATGAAAAATGTGGCATGTAGGTAAGGTAACTACTTAGTTTATATTCTAAACTGGGACACTTTTGAGAAGAAAAGCTGGCATGATGACTAATTATGCCAAAACAATAAGGATAAACAGGATGCTTCTAGACAAACAGGGAGACAGGGTCACCTCATTTGTAAGACAATCACTTCTTGGGTATAGTAAAAGGGCTGCATAAGCCAGAAGAGAAAGTTGAATCTGGCAGACTAGTTGGTTTACCTGTTTGATTAATAGCTACTATATTTCCCATTACATAACTGGAAAACTGAGGGTAGATTATCTTCTAAGAGTCAATAGATCTCATTTTACCTGGTAGACCTGAGATTCCAGCTGAGATCTTTGTCATTCTGCAGTTAGCGTGTGCGTCCCACTTGGTCATTACATCTCTTCAGAGCCAAATGTACTGCTCTGGTGTTCTTAGAAAACCAGTGTAGAATTATCATCACCCTTAGTCTAAATTATTTTAGAACTACCTTTATTCAGTGGTTCTCAACTTTTGGTGCACATTAGAGTTAGCTGAGTACTTTGAAAATGCCAATGGCTACACATCTTCTCAAATCCATCAAATCAGAATGTGTTGTGGTGGAACTGGCATCAGTATTTAGAAATCTTGTCAGGTAGTTCCAGTGTGTAGCTATGCTTGAGATAGCAAGCAGAGAAGGCCACTGGCAGATGGGGAGTTGGCTTGAGGAGTTTGGACTGGAAAGAACGATGGAGGGGTTTATAAGGTCAAATTTTCTTACGTAACAATTTCTCTTCTCCTCTGATTTCCAGGAGAGGTCTGTTAATCTGTTTTTGAAGGAAGTGCCCCCGGTAATTCTAATCAAGCAAGTTTGGGAACTGCTGGCCTAATCCAGTTTCAAAATAGGCCTGTCATATCTAATTATCATAATAATGTGATATGATTTGGATATTTGTCTCCTCCAGATCTCATGTTGAAATGTAATCCACAGTGTTGGAGGTGGGACCTGGTGGAAGGTGTTAGGGTCATGCGGGTAGATCCCTCGTGAATGGCTTGAGACTGTCCTCATGGTAATTAGTGAGTCTCACTCTATTAGTTACCACAAGATCTGGTTGTTAGAGTATGGCATCTCTCTCTCTCTCTCTCTTGCTCCCACACTTACCATGTGACATGCCCGCTCCCTCTTTGACTTCTGCCACAATTGGAAGTTTCCTGAGGCCCTTACCAGAAGCAAATGCTTGCACCCTGCTTTTGTACAGTCTGCAGAACCATAAGCCAAAATAAACATCTTTTCTTTGTAAATTACCCAGCCTCAGGTGTTCCTGTAAAGCAATGCAAAACAGACTAACACATAACGCCTTATGTTTTATTAAAACACCTTATAATCACTTAGGCTTGCCATTTAGCCTTCAGCGTTAGCTTCTGATGCCCAGAAAGTTTCTGATAAAACATTTCTGAAAACATATGAATGGGTACTGGTCAGTATTTCTACTAGTGTGGACATCTCCTTGACACTGGGAATGAAAAATGGAGATCTAACGTTTTTTCAGGTATTGCATAAAATATCAGATGTTAACAAGTCTGCTGCCTTGCTGCTTTTTGTGTATCAGGAAGACTCAAGGATATCAAATATTTATATAGAGTCTGTTCAATCATTTATCTTTCCATTGAAGGGGAGAGCTTCTTACTGTAAAGCTACTTAGCTCTTTTTCATTGAGAAAAAGAATAAAATGCTTTTTTAAAAAAAGGGTACTGCTCTTTCTTTGAAAACGATTACATCCACAGCCTCTTGAATTTTAGGTCAGAGTAGATGTATTTCTGCAGCTGGTGAAAACAGGCATAGGCATATGATTTAAGACAGGAAGTAAAAAATACATTGTTCAATTAAAACTACAGTGAAAATTTTTTGGAAGAAGGTAACTACCTGAGCTGGAACTTAGCCAGGACAACAGTTAATGCTTTTACCCATATAATGACAGAAAATGGAAAATGAGGAATTCTCCAGTCTAGTCCCAGCCCCACTTCCATCTCAGACTGTATTTCATTTATGTTCTTGTTGCCATGTACAACTCATGTGGGAGAGAAATTTATTACCAAATTTATAGAAAAAGACATGTGGGTGGTTTGTACCTCACAATTCAAAAGCCACAGAAGCTGGCCAAAATCCCCAAACAGAAATTTCTCCTCGTCCCAGCATATTTAAGTGGTGTACAATATGTGAACCAATAGCCATCAGTCAGGCATCCTGTGTTGGGACATCCACTGGGAACAAAAAGATATTATATGCAGGATTCATGGGAAACAGAATATATGGTATTATTATTTCACTATTAAAGAAGTAGATACTATAAATATATAATGGTTGTGGCAAGCATAGTAATCATTATGCTTTTCTCTTTTTCACTTCTTTCATTTTAACATTGTCATTTGGTTTGCAATTATTCATTTTAATTTTAATTTTTAATTTATTAAACAGTAAATTTAACTAGTTTTTGGTTCTATGAATTTTAACACATGTATAGATTTGTGCAATTACCAGCACCACTATCAGGATAGGGGACAATGTTATCACCCCCACAGAACTCCCTCATGTATCCTTTTAGAATAAAGCTTCCACCACCCCAAACCTCTGATAACCACTGATCTGCTTTCTATCATTATAGTTGTGTCTTTTCCAGAATGTCATATAAATGAAATTGTAAAGTATGTAACCTTTTAAGACTGGCTTGTTTCACTCGGCATAATGACTTTGAAATCCATGCATGTTGTTGTGTGTGTCAATAGTTTGCTCTTTTTTATTGCTAAGTAGCTTTTCACTGTGTGAATATACCATATTTTCTCCATTCAAGTGTTCGAGAAACTTTGGGTTGTTTTGCAATGAAAGGTTTTGACAATAATGAATATGGGTGCTTCAAACATTTCTCTACCCTTTAGTGGCATTGCTGCATTATCTGGTAAGTGTATGTTTATCTTTGTAAGAAACTGTCAGACTGTTTTTCAGAATGGTTATACCACTTTGCATTCCCTCCAGCAAAGTAAAATAAATCCAGTTCCTCTGTATCCTTGCCAGTGGTTGGTATTGACTTTTTAAAAAATTTTTATCCATTTTAATAGTGTGTAGTGGTATCTCATTGCAGTTTTTTCATTTTCCTAATGGCTAATGATATGAAAATCTTTTCATGTGCTTGTTTACAATCCTTATATCCTCTTTGGTAAAGTCTCTGTTCAAGTCTTTTACCCACTTTTAAATTGGTTTCTTACTTTTGAGTTTGAGAGTTCTTTTATTTAGATATAAGTTCTCTGTTACGTGATTTGCTAACATTTTTTTCCAGTTCATAGTTTATCTTTTTCATTTTAACAATACCTTTTAATTTCAATGTAGTCTAATTTATTAATGTATTTTTAAAGTATTATGTCTAAGAACTCATTGCCTAACCCTAAGTCATGAAGATTTTGTTTTCTTCTAAAAATTTTACATTTTACCTTTTATATTTAGAAATATGATCTGTTTGCCAGTACCATGCTGTATTGCTTGCAATAACCTTATAGTAAGTTTTAAAATTAGATTGTATTATGTTTTTCAACTTTAGTTTTCTTAAAAATGGTTTTAGTTATTCTCATTTCTTTTCTTCCCCAAACATATTTAAGATCAGCTTGTATCTATAAAAAAGTTCCATGAGATTTTGGTTGAAATTGCATAAAATATATAGATTCATTTGAAGAGATTTAACATCTCAACTTTTGTTTTTTTAATATATATTTTAAAAGTATATATAAATACTAGAAAAAGAAACAATATGTATATTTTAATATATGTAAATATTCTTAAATTGAATCCAGATACACAAACACAAATACACACACACGTGGATAATATCTGTCTTTCAAATTGGGGTCTTTGGGCATTTTTTTGTTTTTAAGATGGAGTCTCACTCCATTGCACAGTTTGGAGTACAGTGGTGCCATATCGGCTCACTGCAACCTCCTCCGCCTGGGTTCAAGTGATTCTCCTGCCTCAACCTGCCAAGTAGCTGGATTACAGGGATGCGCCGCCACCTCCCAAAGTGCTGGGGTTACAGGTGTGAGGCACCATGTCCCGGCCCGGGCATTTTTATTTAATGTAATTATTGATATGTTTGGTTTTAGGCCCACCATTTTATTATCTTTTTTGAGTTTTATTCTTGTGTTTTTATTTGTTTGTTTGTTTGGTTGATTCCCCTTCATGCCTTCCTGTGGGTTATTTGAACACTTTTTAGTGTTGTTTTGAATTTTTCCATTGCTTTAGACTGTACATCTTTGTACACTTTGATAGTCTACTTAGAATCAGTTATTAACCACATCAAGTAAAGTGCAAATTTCATTACTGTGTAGATCTCGTTAACTCCCCTACTTTTATGTTTTAGTCGTCTCATATATATACATACATTGAGATTCTCATCAGACAGTGTTAGAATTTTTGCTTTCAACTGTCAAACATATTTTAAAGAACTCAATAGTAAAATAATAATTAATATATTTACTCAGATATTTATTATTTCTGTTATCTTTATTTCTGATTTTCCAAGTTTACTTCTGGTAACTTTTCTCTCTAATGAAAGAATTTCACTTAGCAATTCTTCCAGAGCAGATATGCTGATTATAAATTCTCTTAGTTTTCTTTCATCTGAGAATGAGTTTCTTTCAGTTTCATTTCTGACAGACATTTTCACTGAATATAGAATAATGAGTTAACAGTTCTTTTCTTCAAGCACTTTAAGAACATTCTACTTCCTTCTGGTTTCCATGTTTACTGACGAGAAATCTGCAGTCTTTTGAATTGTTCTTCCCCTGTAGACAAGGCATCATTTTCCTCTGGCTGCTATAAAGACTTTTTCACTCTGTTTTTAGTTTTCAGACATTTCATTATGATGTGTTTGTGGGTGGATTTGAATTTATCTTACTTAGGATTCGATTAGATCCTTAAATCTGTAGCCTTATGACTTTCACATAATTTGGGACATTTTCAACTATTATCTCTTCAAAAAAATTTTCAGCATCACCTTCTCCACTTCTCTAAAGACACGAATGTTAGACCTTTTCTTATTATCTCACATGTCCCTGAGGCTATGTTTTTCTTTATTTTTTAAATCTATTTTCTTTCTTGCATTCAGATTTGATATTTTCTCTCGTTTTATTTTCAGGCTCACTGATTCTTTCCTTTGCCATTTCCATTCTAATATTAATCCTATTCAGTGAATTTTTAAAATTTCAGTTATGTATTTTTCAGTTACAAAATTTTTATATATTCTTCTTATCACCTTTTTTTTTTTTGGCATATCTATATTTTCCCACTCTTTTAAGAATGTTCAAAATTGCCTGTTGAAGAACCTTGTAATAGGCACTTTAAAATCTTTGTCAAATAATCCAACATCTTGTCATCTTTGCCTTGGCCTCAGCTGATTGTCTTTTTCTGTGTGAGTTGATGTTTTCCTGGTTCTTCATATGCCAAGTAATTTTGGATTATTGTCTGGACTTTTTGAACATGATGTTATAAAACTCTGCATCTTATAAATCCTATAAAGCATGTTGATATTTTTGTTTTAACAATCAACCTGGTTAGGTTCAGGACATATATATTTCAATATACCTTCTATGGGCTTTGGTCCTAAAATCAGTTCCATTTTTAAAGCCTATTCAGTACTATTAACATTTATACTACATGTCTGCCCCCCAAAGTGGCCAGGCAAGAGTCTAGGGTGGCAGTCTGTAAGTTATTTCACTTCTCAAATTCTTTAAAAGGCTGATCAAGATAAAATATAACTCTGAAACTTGAGGGTGATCCCATGAAGTTATAAGCAACTTTCAGGGACTTTTTCCTGAGCTTCTCTTCCCCCTGCCCCTATCTCTCCAGTACATCCAGTTTCCTGGGGCTCCCTTTTTCAGTATTCCAACCCGAAAGGTGATACTTTTCTGACCCAGGAAGTTGGGCTTCCATGACTGTACCTGCATTTCAAGCCAAGTGACTGGGAAACAAGAGACAAAAGCACTGGGTAATGTGCCCTACCCTCTCGGGATCACAGCTCCACCAATGAGGAAAGAAGATTCCTCTCTTCAGAATCTGGGTTTCAATGGGCTTCTTTTCCTACTGCTGCTGCTACCTCATCACAGGATTGCTAGTGGGATGAGGTTTGAGAAACTAGAGAAAGGACAAAAGGTGTTTCCACATTCTCTGTGCTTTAGAAATTCTCTCTTCCACTTCTTGAGCTAGAACCCGAGTGTTTTTTCCTGAGCTCTCTCTGCAACTCAGTGCCCACTTCTGCTTCAGGCTACATTGAGATGAGGGTGAGGGATATGGGAGTGGAAAAATGGAAGACTTACCACTGAGTTCGTGATACTTCAAATTCTGGTCTCTTTTACTGATCTGTGTGCTACTACTTACTTTTCAGAGACATCAAATAGTTGCTCCATGCATTCCATCCAGGTTTTATAGCTGCATTCAGTGAAAGAGACAGGGTGGAATATGCTCACTCTGCACTGAAACTTTGTGCCTCAAACTCTTACTTCATTTTACTTTAAAATCATTACTCAGAAGCAAATTATTATCATAACTCTTGCCTTACAATTTTATGGAAGTTGATCAGCTTTTGTATATGTCCTTTTACATATACATACATAAAAACTATAAAGAACCTGTTTCTATTTACTTGTTTCAAAAGGAAATGAAAACAGTTTTAAAATGGATTAGGTAATCAAATTGCTCCTTTTCATATGTAGTTCAGTTTTATACTGTCAGTATATCCATTAATTATTCAGTGAAGAGAATAGAAATGACTATAGACTAAGTTCAACAAAATATTTACAGAGTGTCTGTGTGCTCAGAAATGTACAAGATATCAAAACAATAAAGACATATTTTAAAATATATTTTATACTCAAGAACTATGTCCATTGCACCCAGAATGCTTAAAATGTAATAGAAAAATCCATAATTGCATAAAAAAGTAATTCTGCAAAATTATATGAAGCTTGGCTCCTGTTTTCATGTGTTTTTCTGAGGTAAGTTGTACAGACTGTATGTATGTGAATTCTGAGGTGAGACGGCCTGCTATGCAGTGGTAGGAGCTGGAGCGGCTTCTTGGAGAAATGACAGTGTGAATCTGTGGAATGGGAAAATTTGGAAGAGAAAGAAGGAAGAACCTATTCTTTACTAACACAGAGGAATGACGACTCAGGAGAAGTTTCATACACAGCCCCGTTAACAAAGTTCAGACCTTAGTCTTGGGCCCCTCTGTTGGTATATGTGCCAGAACCAATTATGAATTGAGTGAGACTCTTCATTTTATTTTTCAGCATATTCAAAGTATTGAATTTCTAACACATGGTCTATGTTTATTCTACTATCAGGCAAAAATCAACAAAATGACATTTTTTAATGCATTAACAACTTTTTCCTTATATTGCTAAGCTCAATGAATTTCATTAAGCTACCAATGAGTTTTAAAACCTCTACTGAAAAATAGCTTTTATGTGTAATTAGTGACTTTCATACTATATTTGTAGGACAAAGCATTATTTTGCTAATTATAGAGGAATAAAGTTATTAATAGTCATTAAATTTGATTATGTTCCACATGAAGTTTCAACATTCATTAAAGCAATAGTAAGAACACTACAGCTATTTAGAGTATTCTGTCAAAACCCACCACATGCCTTATGTCTTTAAATATGCAATACTAAGTGGTTTCATAATTCTAAAATAAATGAAAACAATATATGACACTAATAAGATATACTCTCCTTTTTCTCACAAGATTTTTGGGTCTACTGTTTAGTTCAAAAAATAGGTAACATTTCAATGTTAAACATAATTAACTGATTATTTCATACTTATATTTTTAGATATGTGTTAGATTGAATACAAACTTGGTTGCAGGTACCATTGGCCTAATATAAGAGTGTTTTGGAGGAGACAGAGCTTTTTTTCTTTCCTGTAAAATTACCTAGGCTTGCGTGGCACAATGCTTCATGAAGGCACCACAGAAGTAGGTTCCTTCTACCTTGTTACTCCCCTAAATGATATCAAAAGGACTTATCTCTTAGATCTTCTTCTATGTGTTGCCTTCATCCTTTTTTGATGGTAAGGATGACTGTAGAATCTCCAAGTCTCATAGCTGCATACCAATGTTGGGGATTGACCAGGGGAAAGGTATAAAGAGACCTCTGGAAAGTGGCGGCTCCAGTGAACATTCCTAGCCTCATTTCTACCTGAGTACCAGAAGTCAGGAAGGGCAAGATGCTCTATGCTCATTAAGGCTGGGTGAAAGGAGCATGGGAAATTGCACACTAGCTCTTAAAGTTCTGCATGATTGTTACACACATTACTACTACTTACATACTGTTTGCCAGAGAAAGTCACTTGGTACCCTACAAGGGAGAAAGGTGTAATCCTTACCACATGTTTAGGAGAAAAACACCGGGATATTTATGAACAGTCCTAATTATTTCTATAGAACCCAAAAGGACTTAATAAATAATATGATTTTTGAACTTAAAAATTAGAAAAGTGAATTGAAAAATTGTGTTTACAACTGAACTGATTTAGTAGTGAGAAAAACACAGTAGGAGAAATATTTTGCTTCATAGAATTAGAAACAGTAAAAATATGAGGCACTTGAAGAACAGATCCAAGATAGTTATTTATAAGTAAGAGTTTCATAAATAGAAACAGAAACAGACACAAAATTTATAATTATACAGTAATGGGAGCTAGTTTCTTGGTCAAAAGAAAAAATCTTAAGTTCATAGATTAAAAAGGCTCATTTATTTTCATGAAGAATTAATGTCAAAATGCAATGATAAAAAAATAGAATGCCTCCCTACACACTGAAACGTTTCTTGGTAAAAGTTCTGAATGTCAAGGAAGGCTAGACAAGGCAAATGTAAACCACAGGGAAGTAGGAATAATGATATTAATATTTGTAACTTTGAGGAGAAACACATGAAAATAAGGCAGAGTGGCATATTAACCAATATAAAATGGACAAACATGAGGAAGATATAAGTCGTGTATAATTATTGTAAATAATCTCCACATTATATTTACATTTAGAATATTTCAGAAGTACTTTCATTAAAGAAGCTTATTATAATCATTTAAACTAGAATTAGAGAACAAATTGATTTCTTGATTGCAAGAAGCTACACTAAAATGAGTAAATATGACTAATTCAATTTTAATTTGAATATTGATGGTTTAGATTTAGAAGAACTTAAAAATATATCTGGAAGAATTAAGAAAAATTAATGTAAGGGGCAGAGAAACTAACATCATCAAAGTTTAACGTTTGCTATAAAACCTCTGTAAGCAGAGAATGGTGTTGTCATAGCAACACAATGAAGATTAGTGGAAGAGAATAAAGTCTAGGAAAAAAACAAACACTCTTAGTCTCATAAGACTTAATGGGCATTTTAATTTAGAAGGAAAAGGACAATTGTGATAAATAGCTAGTAATAATTTAACACTCTTTTTCTCTTTTCCATATAAACAGAGTTTTAACTAGGCAGGATACATGATCCACCAGGTAAAGATTACATTTTGCAGACTCCTTTGTATTTAGGTATGGCCATGTAACTAAGTAGTACTGGCCAAAAGGGAAAAGGAAAGAAAATGGAGGTGATGCTGGCATGTGTCATTTCTGAATTGTGTCCTCATCGTGAGTGGGTGTGTGTTTTCATGTTTCCTTTTTGTTTCTTGTTTTCTGGGAACTGATGAATCAGAAATGGAAGCTATTTGATGAAGATGGCAGACCTGCTCCCTCATAGCTGAATTAAACTGAATGTTTGTATCTTTGTTTGTATAGCTTAGCTTATCCCTGAACTAGCACAGGCGGTAATTTAATAAGTGGTGCAATCTTTTTATCTGAAAGATAATTGAGATACATCTGATAACATATAAAAATAAAGTTCAGTTATATTTAAAATGTAAATATCCAGTGTAAACCAAAAAGCTGCAGAAAGTTTTAAGAATATTTGAATAGCCTTGAGAAGGGAAGGTAGAGAGCCTCTTCTGAGCCATTTAAGAAACCCAGAAATCATAAAGATTTGTATTTTTGACGATGTACACATTAAGCACTTTGAAATAAAATAGGACAAAGGATAGCACAAACAAAATTTCAAAATCGTGTAATATACTGACAAATATTCAGGGAAAATTAATGTGTCCAAAATGAAAAAGGTTGTTCTTTAAAAAGATCAGTGCAATTGATAAACCTCTAGTCAGGCTAATCAAGAAAAAAGAGAAAGTCACAAATTAATATCAGAAATGAAAGAGGTCATCACTGCTGATCTCATAGACATTAAAAAGATAATTGAGGAATATTATGAACAGCTGTGTGTCCACACATTGAGAGCTTAGAGGAAATGGACCAGTTCCTTGAAAGACACAAACTACCATCTCATAGAAGGAGAAATACATAATAAAAATAAGCTAATGTCAATTAAAGCAATCGATTTAATATTTAATAACCTTCTGTATTAGGGTTCTCCAGAGAAACAGAACCAATATGCGCATGTGTGTGCGTGTGTGTGTACACTCTCTACGTATAAAGATTATATATATATATATATATATATATATATATATATATATATATATATATATATATATATAGAGAGAGAGAGAGAGAGAGAGAGAGAGAGAGAGAGAGAGAAGCTGAGAAGTGCCAACATCTGCAGTCAGCAAGCTGCAAACTCAGGAGAGCCAGTGGTGTAAATTTCAGTCCAGAATCCTGCAGGCTTGGGACTCAAGAGGAGCTGATGTTTTAATTCAATCTGAAGTCAGGAAAAGACGGATGTCCCTTCTCAACACAGTCAGGCAGAAGGAATTCTTTCTTTTTGTTGGGAAGGTCAGCATTTTGTTCTACCCAGGCTTCCATTTATTGTATGAGACCCATCCACATTATGAAAGGCAATCTTTACTCATTCTACTAATTCAAATGTTAATAACATCCAAAACACCACTACTGGCACACTCAAAATATTTGGCTAATGCCTGGGCTTCCTGTGGACCAGTCAAGTTGACACATAACAATTACGTTTCCAAAAAAGAAAGCATCAGGCATAGATGGTTTCACTGGTGAATTCTACCAAACATTTATGGAAGAAATGATAATTCTCCAGTGTCTTACAAAAAAACAGAAGCAAAGGGAATAATTCCTAACTCAATTTAAGGTGAGTGCTACACTAATATTAAAACCAGATAAAGGTATTACAAGAAAGAAAAACTACAGAAGTCAATATCTCTCATGGATGTAAATGTAAAAATCTTCAACAAAATATGAGTAATTTTAATCCAATGTTGTATAAAGACATAATGCCATGACCAAACAATATTTATTTCAGGTATACAAAATTGGTTCAATATTCCAAAATCAATTAATGTCATCATTTATATAAATAAGCTAAAGAAGAAAAATCACATGATCATATCAATAAATGCAGAAAAAGCATTTGACAAAATCCAGCATACAATCATAATAAAAACTTAGCAAACTAGGAATAGAGGGAAACTTCCTCAACTTGATAAATAAAAAAGAAAACAAACTACAAAATTCTATAGTTAACATAATCAGTGGTGAGAAACAAGATACTATTCCCCTAAGATGGGGAAAAGCACAAGGATGCTCCCTCTAATTATTCCTATTCAAAATTTTATTAGAAGTCCTAGCTAGAGCAATAAGGCAAGAAAGTAAAAGAAAAGATACAACAGGGAAAAAACAAGTAAAACCGTCTTCATTCATAGATGACAAGACTTTATATGTAGAAAATCCAGAAGAATCAGCAACAAAAAACTCTTGGAACTAATGAGTGATTATAGCAAAGTTGGAAAAGAAAAGGTTAATAATAGCAAAATCAATTAATTTCCTGTACAGCAGTGATGAAAATTGGAATTTGAAATAAAAACACAGTATCATTTCTATTAGCACCAAAAAAAGGAAAATTTAGTCATAAATTTAGCAAAATATGCACAAGGTCTATAGAAGGAACACTCATACAGATAAAACTCTAATGAAAGAAATCAAAGATTCTCTATATAAATGTAGAGATACTCCATGTTCAGCTTCCCAGCTTGGTCTGTAGGTTCAATATCATCTTAATCCAAATCTCAGCAAGTTATTTGGTGGATATTGACAAACTTATTCTAAAATTTAGGTGTAAAGGCAGAAATCCCCAGAATAGCCAACAGTAAAGAAGATCAAGGTGAGAGACTGGCAATTCTTGACTCCAAGGCTTACTATAAAGCTACAGTAATCAAGACAATGTGGGATTGGCTAAATAATTGAGAAATATATCAGTGAAACAGAGCAGGGAGCCCAGAAATAGACCTATGCAAATATAACCAACTGATTTTTCACGAAGGAGCCAAGGCAATTAAATTAAGAAAAGAATGTGTTTTTGAACACACAGTGCTAGACCCATTGAGCATTCATATGCAAAAAATGAATGTAGACAGAGACTTTGTACCTTTCACAAAAGTTAACTAAAAATGGATCATAGAACTAAATGTAAAATGCAAAAGTATAAAACTTCTAGAAAATAACAAAGGAAAAAAATCTAAGTGACCTTCAGTTTGGTAATAAGTTTTTAGATACAATACCAAAAGCATGATCCATGAAAGAAAAAAATTGATAATTTGGACTTTATTAAAATTAAAAACTTCTGCCCTGAAAAAGACATGGTTAAGGCAATGAAAATTCAGGCCACAGACTGGGAGCAAATATTTGCAAAACATATCTGATAATGTACTTGTATTCAAAATGTACAAAGAACTATTGAAACTCAAAGATAAGAAAACAAACAACTCAACTACAAATTGGGCAAAGTCTCTGAATACACGCGTTACTAAAGAAGATATACAGATGTCAAATAAACATGAAAAGATGCTCTACATTATAGGTCATTAGGGAATTGCAAATTAAAACAACAATGACATGTGACATGATACTACACACCTAGGAGAGTGGATAAAACAAAAATGGACAATACCAAATCCTGGTGAGAATGAAGAACAACAGTAATTCTCATTTATTGCTGGTAAGAATGCAAACTAGCCCAGCCATTTTGGAAAATGGTTTGGAAAGGTTTTAGAAAACTAAACATAGTCTTACCATATGATCCAGCAATCATGCTCTTAGGTATTTACTCAATTGAGTTGAAAACTTAGTCCACAAAAATGTTTTTAGCAGTTTTATTCATAATCATCAAAGACTAGAAGTAACCAAGATCTCCTTTAGTAGGTGAAAGCATAAACAATCTATAGTATATCTATGTAATAGAATATTATTCAGTAATTTTACAAAAGAGCTATCCAGCCATGAAAAAAAATGGAGGTAACTTAAATGCATATTGCTAAATGAAAGAGGCCAGTCTGAAAGGCTAAATACTATATAAATCCAACTATATGACATTCTGGAAAAGGCAAAATTTATAGAGACACTAAAAAGATCATTGGTTGCCAGGGATTCCAGCGGGTAGAGGAAAGGGATGAACAGGTGAAGCAGCGGAGATTTTTGAAACAGTGAAATTATTCTGTATGATACTGTATTATGGTGATATACAGAAGATAGATATGATATTCTGTATGATACTGGAATGGTGCATATATATGACATTATGCATTTGTCAAAACCCATAAAGTTGTACAACAGGGGGTATTATATTAAGGTGAAACAATGTAAATTATAGACTTTGGTTAATCATATATTAATAACGGTTCATTCATTGAACAAGTATACTCACTAACGCAAAATAAAAGAGGAATTGTGTGTGGGTTAAGGGGTGTACAAGAACTCTCTGTAGTATTTGTTCAAAAATGAAGTCTATTAAATAAAATATACCCTTGCACAAACCTTAAAAATTGTGCATACGCTTATACCCGTATAACCACAACACAAAACAAGATTTAAAAATTTGTCATCACTCTAATAGATTCTTGTTTGCCTTCCCTCTTTTAAAGGTAGCTACTCTTTTCACTCTTTTGACTTATTAGTTATGACTCACCGAATTAGTTATGACTATTCTTGAATTTAATATAAGTGAATCATACACCATGTACTCTTTTAAGCCAATCTCTCTCTCTCTTTCTCTCTCTCTCTCTGTGTGTGTGTGTGTGTCTGCGATAGCATTAACTCTTATTTTCAGGGTTATTTTGACAGTAATTCCCAATGTGTTATTCCATATAAAGTTTATGATCTACCTTTCTAGCTCCGGGAAAAAGCCAATTGATGGTAATGTCATTGGAATTGAATTAAATTTATAGACGATCTTGGAATGAATTGACATATTTATAATGTTGCTTATTCTTTATGACATGGTGAATGTTTCTACTTGTTAAATCTCTTTTTGTGTGTGTATTTCAGTACTTATAGTTTCTGTACCTGAATTTTTGTTTGCTATTATACATGGAATTTCTTTCTACTGTATCTTCTATTCAGTTAGAGTTTTTATATAGGAATGCTACCTGTTTACCTGCTAGGTTTATATTCTTATACTTTACTTAATTTCCTTATTTCCTTATTTATTTATTGAGATGAAGTTTCACTCTTGTTGCCCAAGCTGGAGTGCAATGGCATGATCTCGGCTCACTGCAACTTCTGCCTCCCAGGTTCAAGTGATTCTCCTGCCTCAGTCTCCTGAGTAGCTGGGATTACAGGCACATGCCTCCACACCTGGCCAATTTTTTGTATTTTTAGTAGAGATGAGGTTTCACCATGTTGGCCGGGTTGGTCTCAAACTCACCATGTTGGCCAGGTTGGTCTCGAACTCCTGACCTCAGGTGATCCGCCCATCTTGACCTCCCAAAGTGCTGGGATTTACAGGTGTGAGCCACCACGCCCAGCCAATTTCCTTATTTTTATAACAAGTTTTCTTCTTTTTTTTTTTCTTTTTTTTGAGACATAGTCTCGCTCTGCCTCCCAAACTGGAGTGCAATGGCATGATCACAGCTCACTGCAACCTCTGCCTCCAAGCCATTCTCCTGCCTCAGCCTCCCAAGTAGCTGGGATTACAGGTGCACGCCACCATACCCAGCTAATGTTTAGTATTTTTAGTAGAGACAGGGTTTCACCATCTTGGCGAGGCTGGTTTCGAATCTTGACCTCAAGTGATCCACTGCCTCCGCCTCACAAAGTGCTGGAATTATAGGCCTGAGCCACCGCACCTGGCCATAACAATTTTTCTGTTAATATTTTTGGTAGAAGATTTCTAGATACATAATGATTTTCCCGTAAATAGAGATAGTTTTATGTGGTCCTTTAAAAATTATTGAATTTAGTTGTTTTCACTTGTCAATTATTTTAATTCAATGTTCAATTATAGTTGAGATAGTAAGAATCCTTTTCTTTGTCTTACTTTAGTAGGAATACGTCTATTATTTCACCTAATGTGCAATAATGTTGTGTGTATGAGTGAGTGTGTGTTAAGAAAGTTAAGAAGTAACTTTCTATTTTATTGAATTCTTTTAACATGAAAGGATTGTAAATGTTGTCAAGTGTCTTATAAGATCTGAAGAGATATTCATAATGCTTTTTCTTCTTAGATCTATTACAATGATTAAATTAATGGCTTTCTTAATATTGATCCATTCTTATATTCCTGAAATAAACCCCTCATGATCTTTATATATTAATTTTCTTTTCTTTTCTTTTTTCTTTTTCTTTACTTTACTTTTCTTTTTTTTTTCTTTTTTGAGATGGAGTCTTACTCTGTCACCCAGGCTGGAGTGCAGTGGTGTGATCTCGGCTCACTGCAACCTCTGCCTCCCACATTCAAGCAATTCTCCTGCCTCAGCCTCCCAAGTGGCTGGGACTACAGGAACTTGCCTCCACGCCTGGCTAATTTTTTGTATGTTAGTAGAGATGGGGTTTCACCATGTTGTCAGGCTTGTCTCGAACTCCTGAGTTCAGGCAATCCGCCCACCTCGAAACCCCTCCTGATCTTTATATATATTAATTTTTAATATGATGTTGGATTCACTTGGCTAATATTTTAGATTTCTGCCATAATATCCATGGGGAAGACTGATCAATACTGTCCTTTTTGTGTGATTATGTTTTTGTTCAAAGTCACATCATATTTGTCTCATAAAAATAATTTGTAAGTTTTTCTTGTTTACTCTCTGGATCAGCTCAAGCAGCAATGGAATTATCTAGTCATCACAATTCTGGTTAAACCAATTGTGTCTCCCACTTTTTCCTCTCTCTTTCCTGAGGGCTGTGGAGGATCTTTTACAACTTTTTCTATTCTTTACTAAAATCAATTTTAGTAAATTAAGGTTTCCAAAAAATATACATTCCCTACAGTTGGGAGAATAACTGGATACCTATCCCCTGTTGGGGGATACCTGGAGACGTAGTTCACTTGATGGTGTTGCTTAGGTCTTCTCTATTCCTATCAGTATCTTGCCCACTTTTTCCATCTTCAAGTGAGAGAAAGGTGGTGTCTATCATTAGTTATTTATATTTAATTCTTCCAAGACTAAAGTTTCTGCTCTATGAAAATTGTTTTCGTTGGATTCAAAAATAGTAATAATTATTATATTCTCATGGTGAATTATAGTCTTAGCTTTATAAAGTGCCCTTCTTTGTCATTTTTAACATTTTTTAATTCTAAGTTTTATTTTGTTGGATAACAAGATTTCGACTCTTGCTTTCTCTTTATTTTCATTTATTATATCTCTGGCTATCTTTCTGTCTTATATGTAGTATGTAATTGGATTTTGCTTTGTTAGTCAGTATGAACTTACTTATTCTTCTAATAGGTGTATTATGTCCAGTTACATATATTGGAATGATCAACATGTTTACTCTCAGTTCTGTAATGTTATTTTATTTTATTTCAAATATATAACACACACATTTGTGTGTGCATGCGTCTGCTCCCATTGTCTTGAAAATCTGGATCTTCTCTCACTTTCCTATAACTAATGTAAGATGCAGACTTCAGCTCCACTGAAATGGTCCTCATTTGTGAAAGATCTCGGGGGTATAATATTTGTTCTACTCCACAGCTTTGATTCCTGGTACAGCCTCATGGGTTTGAACACCCAGGCTTACCAAATTTCAATAATCTGCTTTCCCTTTTTTGTAATTCTTATTTATAAGTAGATTGAATCTGCTCTCCATTTTAAATTTTTCTTATTATTTTATTCTCTTTGTCACTGTCTTTTGAATTTTGAGAATGTGTTTGTGCTTTCCTTGGCCAATGTAATTTTCTTGATTATTCAATATTCTGCTATTGTCTCTCATAATATTTTTAAATTAGTTGTCATTTAATCATACTCATACTATATTTACTGATCTAAATTTATTCTCTCTTTATAATTGCTGCCCTAATTTCTCAGATGCAATGCTGCTTTGACTATTTTTGAAAACACCAAATAGAAATTTTCTATGTGTTTCTCCCTTCTCTTCTTTTTTACCATTTATTTCAGAGAGACAGAGTTTTCCAAACAGGTCCTCTTTAGAACCACAGTGCTTATCTTTTGTAAGTATGGTGACTTGTTTCCATTTCTGTGTCCTTAAAGAAAAGGATTTGAACACTTATACATTCTCAGATTTGGCTGAAAGGAAATTTGAGTTGAAAGCTATCCCTTAGATTCATGCGGATATCAACGTATGTCCAATAGGCCTAGAAGCACAGACAGTGTAAAATTTAGCATTGTGTTACTTTCAATGATAATACTTTAGAAACTTAGCTACTTAGTGAAACAGAGATATGTGGTCCAGAATTTAACTTAGTGGCAGTTAATACAGATAGCTAATGTATTTCTTGTTGTTGCTTGTCATGTTTGCTGAATTTTGAAAATGATGGTGTCCTTTGCTGAATGACAAAACTATCTTTATGTCATGTGTAATGCAGAAAAAAAGTCATAAAATCTTGATTCAAGGATACAGTGGTTGTAGGGTTGATGTGCTCCTCCCACAAGCTTACTGCACACTTTGCCTCTGCTATGACTTCCTAAGTTTCACATTCCACATCCTGTGACAGTGCTTTCCACTTACTTCCAGCAAAGATACTCTCTCACAGGATGAGAGTTTTGAATGAGTCCTTCCTTCATTCAGGTCTCTTGTGTCCTGTATCTCACAGGAATTCCTTAATATTTTTGCAAGTGAAATATATCCTCTCTTGTTTTCTTTACTGCTGGAAATTTCCCCCAATTTCTGGAGAAAAAGAATTAGATTCTGTCTATCACATGATGATCTACTTCATGTGCTCAGAAAATTACATGTGAAGTCAGTGATGGAAGATATGTGTATTAAGACATCCCCAATTGCAAGTATGCTCACTCTTTACTTTTCAAATTTAAAATTAAGCTAAGACAACCAAAGATGATCAGATCAGATTTGTTGATGACATTATATATAATTCCTTTGTCAGTGTGAAAGCTGGGTCAGTATCAATAGTCAATGGCAGTCGGTTCCTTTCAAATATTCAGACACTTGCAAAATATAGTATTAATTATAAAAATGAATGTATTGTCTCAATATTTAAGTCAGCCATATACTTCTACTCAATTAACTTATTATTTAATATCCTTAAAACACTCCTGAAAAGGAAAACAAAAGAATATGCAAGCATGGTTCATATAATCATACGTAAATATGGCCCTTAAAAGCCAATTTACTTTTTCAAAAGCCATAAAGTCATGTTTATTAACAAAATTCAGATGGCACATATATTTTCTTTTCAAGGTTTCTTATGTTAATAAATTATAGAAAAATACAAAACCTTGTTCATATTGTATATCTGCTTTTCTTTTGTAATTTTCAAATAGAGCCTTTTTTTTTTTCCTTAAAGCAACTTATTTGCCTAGACCCAGAGAATTTTAGGTAGGACAAGACCAAAGAGACCACTTCGTATTTTATAAATGAGGATGCTAAAGTTAATTAAGAAGTGGAATTTGGGTAGGAACCCATGTCTTTTAACTTAAAGCTCTGTGGACTTTCAAAAGCATGAATGCTATGTAGCCTCAGGGTGAAAGAGCCTTTGGTCAGGATTTCTTAAGTCTAATCAGTCTGGTCTGTGGATGAGCTGTAGCATATGTATGAGCTTCTTGGCATTGTAGGAAACTATGTGTGCTCATGTTTGTGTGCATTTTTTCTGGAATGGCTTTCATTACCTTCTTAAATGAGGTCAGTGACTTTCTCGAAGGTTAATAAATATTGCTGAATACTAATAAAAGCTTCAATAATAGTAAATGGTTTAACAATGTATCACAATATGGAGGAAAATGATTTAAATAGAGAGCAAATTCAGAAGGACTGGTATTATAAAGTTATATATTTTTATATGTAAACTTAAAGAGAAACATCATACATATAGTATATACTGCATAGGAAGTAACAAGATCCTCTAGCAGATATTTCTGATGATAAGTTTAGTATTCAGTCATATACCTGCAAAATATCCTCTTAGTAAACATAAACAAAATATATTTACATATCTTCTTTAATAATTTAAAAATTCCATCATCTTGTTTTAACTTACTTATCTACAGTAGGGATGGTGCTTCTCTAATCTTTTTGGTGGGGGCAGGAGGAGACAGGAGTAGGTTGTATGGGGCGAAAGGAAGAGAGAGGGAGACATTTCCTATTTCTTGATTTTATTTAACCTTGGTCTCAATGAAAGCCTCAGGGCTTAAGATAAAACAGCAGATAAACAACAAAAAATGTAGTGCATATTAATCCTTCTGGGCCAATGTGTCATAATATATCTATTATTCACAGTAGATTTCACATCAATAAAAATGTAATTCTCATTCTCAAAGAGTAAATAAGAATTTCTTAGTCTTTTGAGTTATTCCATAATTCATATTCTGATGGTTCATCAACAATAATGCCAGCTAATGCACAGTTACCAGTCAGGATATTCCTTTCATGGAAGATCACTTCCTCTTAATAATTCCTGCCAGTGGACTTGCAACTAGTTATCCAATTGTTTGTAGTACTTGCAATACCTTGTGTGCTTGTGTGCATTCACTTGAAACTCCACTCTTGCTCAGTTAAGATCACAAGATATGTGTGTGTGTGTGTGTGTGTGTGTATATATGTATATACACAAAAAATATGTGTGTGTATATATATATATATACACACACACAAGATATATGTATTAGCCTAATACACATATGTGTAGGTATTCACACATATATATAAATATATGTGTGTGTATATATGAAAGGTGGTGATACATATATATATATACACACTATATATGTGATCAAAGATGGCTTGCCAATCTTCTCTGAATGAAAATCACATAATTTCCTTTCAGGCCAGGTGTGGTGGCTCATGCCTGTAATCTCAGCACACTGGGAGGCTGAGGGAGGAGGATAGCTTGAGCCCAGGAGTTTAAGAACAGCCTGGGCAACAAAATGAGACCCTATCTCTGTAAGTTTTTTTTTTTTTTTTTTTTGCCAGGTGTGGTGGCATGTGCCTGTAGTTCCAGCTACATGGGAGTTTGAGTTGGGAGGATCGCCTGTGCCAAGGAGGTTGGGGCTGTGATAAGCCATGATTGCGCTTCTGCACTCTAAACTGAGGGATCCAGTGAGACCCTGTGTCTAAAAATGAATAAATAATTTCCTTATGAAGTACTTCTTAAGAATATTGAATTTAATCTATGGACTGCCGTTAAAAGCATACAAAATCTATCTGAAATATAAATAAATTCTCTAATGAAAAGAAGGATAAACACAGAAAGTCTTCATATTTGTAGCATTGTGATTTAGGAGATATAGAAAATAATCATCTAATTGACATTTATAATACTTTAATTTCTATTCTGCCCTTCATAATTCTTATAACTTTCTAAAATTTCAGATTAATGAAAATATTAAATGCAATTCCAGAAATTATTGCTATTATATATCTTAGTTTGGGCTTCTATAACAAAATCTCTTAGATTGGTGGCTTAAACAACAAACATCTGTTTCTTACAGTTCTGGAGGCCTGGAAGTTAAAAATGAAGGTGCCAGCAGATCCAGTGTCTAGTGATGCCCACCTTCTGGTTTGCAGATAGCTGTCTTCTAGTTGTGTCCTCACATGGTAGAAAACAGAGAGGAAGCAAGCTTTTTTTCTTGTGTCTCTTCTTATCAGGGCACTAATCCCATCATAAGGATTTCGCCCTCAATACTTAATTCCTTCCCCAATACCCTTTCTTCAAATGCCATCACATTGGGGATTAGGGTTTTAATATATGAAATTGGGGGAGTTAGGGTAACTATCCACTAGGAGCTAATACTTCTTAAAAGAATTACATTGTAATTTGTGATTCATATAAACAGTCTCATTTAATTGTATCATTTGAGGTAGGTGTCGTTATTTCTATCTGAAAGACTGAAAAACTACGTTCCATAAAATTGAAATAGTTTTCCAGTGTCCCTTACTAGTAATAAGAGAGGCAGGATATACTCTCACAGTGGAAGCAAGTGGGTTACCCAGAGGAGAAATGCAAAATGGACCTTAGCCACTTGAATATATGGGAGAGATGTGCTTATTTGTGATTAATTCATTAATTGAGGTTGTTGGAGAAATTGGAGCATTAGCAGTATGCTCCGAAAAATTCCAGTAATGGGGGATTTATTTCGCCTTGTGCTAAATTTTTCACTCTGTTTATCTTCCATTCCAACATAGATCATTAAGTGGCAAACAGGTCAAAAGCACTTTAATTTTCAAAAGCCCTTTAAAGCATGTTTTTATAAATTTATCCTGTTAAAATTAAACAAAACAAAATAATTATTTAGTACTGGTTTAATTTATTCTTCATTTTGCTTAATATTGACTACTACATTGGTGATTGGTATCAAAACATAAAAGATGGTGTTACTAGAGCTTTCTATTTTTAGAAATATAGATATTATATACTATGTGTATGATTTTGCAAAATAATTTTAGTTTTCTATTAGTGGGATCCCCTGAACAGAGCACTGTAGATGTGCCATACTACTCTGTGGGCAGACAGTGCATCTATAATCTTTTTATGTATTTTGCAAATGCAGGTTACAGGTGTCAGTCAAAACGGTGAATGAAACAAGTTGAATTCATTATTCTTGGGGGAAAAAAAGTGCTGTACCTGATGATGATGATTGAGAAGCACAGAAGATTCATAATTTGAAAGTATATGGGTTTTATTTTGTTTTTTAGTAACGTAAGGGATTCACTTTTCTTTTTATGCATGAGAAGGTAAGGAACCTTTTACAATTACTATATATAATATGTGTTCATAAGTATTATTTGACCAGTTTGGGCTAAAGGTTAAAGTTTCAGATAAACACTGGCTTGTCCTAAGCATCTGTAAATGTGTTTTCTATGTCCTCTTTTCTATTCGCCTTCTGAACAATGAAGACGAAATTTAATCAAGGTATTTTATATGTGTGGCTAATTAGTATGTGGTGGAAGTACAGCCGTGTGCTGCTTGCAATCCATATTATTGCCTCTGCCACTTTTCCAAACATTAATAAGCATTTTAATATTTTATAAGCCAAGTTCTGAATTATGGAAAATAAATCTGAACACTATTAATACCCAATGCGGCACATTAAAAAAGGGGGACAGCATGATCTATTGTGCAGGTGAGTACTTAACTCAAGAAATTATAATTTTTTTACTGGTATTGGAGACCTCAGTGAGGCTAAGGAGAGTGCTTGGGCTTTCTAGAAAGAGCTGATAGGTCACGGATGTATTTGAGCACTGTTGAAAATGATAAAAATTCATGCTCAATTCATCTCATTGGTGTATCAAAAACAAACAGCTGCAGAAGCTGTCTGAAAATCATAAGGTCTGACTAATTCTGTGCTTTAATCCATCACATGTCAGGATTTGCACTGAGCCTTAACACTGTATCATTAGTTTCAATCACATCTTGGCAAGTGCTAGGAAGGAGGTCAATACATGGACAGGAAGATATTTCAACATATATTTGTTTCCAAATGACAGACAAAGAGCTGAATAAGATGATGATGCTTCACTAATCTTCCAGTTCCTCTTTACTTCAGAATATTTATGCAAGGATATGCTTAGAACAGTGAGAGTACAACTTGTAATCAGTGGGTTGAAACTCAATTTTCAAGTATGACTATTTGAACTCATAAAGCTCAACTCAATATAAGTATTTCATAGAAGTTGGTAAGAACACTTTTCCACCTCCTTATAATTCAAAATAACAATAGGAAAAAATCAAGTTTATAGGTGTTATATAATTCTGCTGGACCAAAAAAAGTCATTATTTGTGGTTTAAAAATATAGAATAATATTCTAGTGAACAAGAGTGCATATGAAAATTAAAGAGTGGATTTTAAAAATATCTTTCAACTCATCTGTATGTACCATTAGTCACATTTTAAACTAAATACTGTTTTTTTTCTTTGATACCATTATGTGTCTTGTTGATAGTGATGTTTTATATAAAACATATTTGTGTTTCCATTGTTTTCTAACTCAGAACATATACTGAGTAACATTCAACAGTTTTGCATATAATCCAGTTAATTGCCCAACTAAAATATTCTGGCTTGCAGATAGGCCATAACTGTAAGCACGCTTTCTTCCAGAGGCCTTTGTACATGCTATACCTCCTGCTCCCTCTTTAGACACAATCTTTGTGAGAAGCCCTTCTTGATCTCCACACTGGAGGAAGCGAGGTGGGCTCTATGACTGACTTTTCAAGATTGCTCATGTCCATGGCTGACAAGTGGGTATTGGCTGTTAGCTATGGTCCAGGGGCATTCGTTCTTCTCCACGTATGTCTCTTCACTGGCTGCTTGGGCTTCCTTAAATCAAGATATCTGAAATTCAAGAGTGAGGGTCTGGATAGACAGGAATTGGAAGCTCCCAGTTCCTTAAACTTTGGGCCTTAAAGCTAGCATACTGTCACTTTTGCCAGATTATTCTGTAAGAGGTCTTATAGCACCATGAATCTTTCCTTCATAGCCCCTTTCACAGCTCATCATTACACAGATATTTGCATGAGTTTTTTGTTTATTTTCTGTCTCCCCATTTGATTATGTGAGGAGGTTTGGAATCTTCTTTAATTTTTCTCACTGCTATGTCTCAAACATTTAGTGACTAAAATATAAAGTTGATCAATAATTTTTTATAAATAAGTGAAATGCATTCAACATTTTGCTCATTTACTTGAGAGAGAAGCCACATTTGCATGGTATTTAATTCATGTTAGGTTCTGACTTTGGACTGAATTGAGCAGTTCACTTTCTAGATTAAAAAAGCTTTCCTATTTTTTCCAAGTTAAATATGCCATTTTATTTCAATTTTTCTATACATCACTGAGTTTTTCTTTCTAGGAGAATTTGCTTTTTCAAATTTTATATTAATTTTGATTGGATTGATCATGGAAATGCAAATTCAGTTAAGTATATAGAACTTTTAATTTTAAAAGTATTTTTCTTGAATTACAACAATATATGCAATCAATCAGATATTTTAGACCAGAGTTTTCAACTTTGGATAAACATGGAAAAGCTGGGGACCTTTAAAATATATTGATGCAGCATGAGTCCCACACCAAAAGATCCTGATTTAATTGGCCTGGAATACATCCTGGAAATTTGTATTAAAGGTCCATAAATAGTTATAATATTCAGCCATCATTGAAAACTAGTGCTTTAACCAGTTCATCTAAACCTTCCCTTCTTGGGTTTTAATGGGATTTGGTCATTTGTATATTTTAAAAACCCCTATAAGATTATAATCACCACAGTAAGAATAGCTACTTTAGACAAGTATTATTTGCCTTTTATATTTATTTCATATCAAGTGATCCTTCACTTTATATCTTTCAGAAGACTTTTTTCCCAAATAATATATCATGTGCTTAAAAACACCAACCTATTTCTTGTTATAAGTTTTATATTATTAATATTTGATGTTCAATAGATGTTTAGCCCCATTGCTTATATTAAATATGAATGAAGTAATTAATTACACTCTTATCGTGATCTCTGTCTTTTCTTTGCAAACGTTATGACTACTTTGGTATATATTTACTGCACTGATGAGTTATGCAAAATACGTAGAATAATGGTTGAGACCATGACTTTGAGTTGCCGGGCTCAGTGACTGAGATTATTGACCAGCGGGTCAACTAGTAGGTCAGTTACACCAAGTAAACTGTTGCACGTATCATGTAATTTGAAAGAGCAAATGTCCCAAAAGATGAGAAGTGCATGCTGCCATTTTTACAAGGCTTGGGCCTGGAAGTTAGCACTTGCAGTTTATTCCACTGTTCAAACAATCAAAGGGCCAGATTCAAGAAGAGGGTATACAGACTCTATTTTTCAATTGCAGGACTGTAAAAATAATTTGGGTCTATTTTAAAAATTGCCACAGGAGCACACTGAAGAAGTACACAGAGTTACCTCCTTTTCTTGCAATACAGTGAATTAAGTATTAAGACAGAGTCTCTTACTAACGGCAACTACTATTTGGGTATTATAAAAAGGACATCTTATACACATAAGGTTGCTGACAAGAAACAAATAAATAGGACAAATACTAAATGAAGTTGATACTAAAAGAAATAGGTGGAACACTGAAGCTGGTTTTTCCCTTGAGGGCATTGGCAAAACCGAGTGAGTCTTTGTTTCATGGGACTCAGAGGATAGGACATAAAAACGCAAGGTAAAAAGAGGTAAACTAGAAATAACTAACCCCTCCAAGGGATGCCAAAGAAAATCACCTGTTCTGAACATTGGTACTGATTGAAGGTGTAAAAACTTATCCTGAGGATTAGCAAAAATAAGCTGGTTTTATCTGTATTTGCAGCATGAATTCCAAGAATTGTGATGAATTGATAATGTTCTGAACACTTCAGTAGATAAATTATAATTTAGTCATAAAACAGAGCAATATACATCAATTAAGAAAAAAAATACAGCTATACTCAACACGATCAGGTGTACTGAGAGAAAGAAGCCAGACACACCACCATACATCCTGTGTAATACAATTATATGGATTTCAAAAGTAGGCAGAACTAAAATATATTGTTTGGAGTTGTGTAATTGGGTGGAATAACTAGGAAAAAATTAATAAGTGAATCCCACAAAAATGACAATAGTTTACATTCAAAGCCAGGCAAGAGAAGGTTAAAACCAATCAAGGCAAATTCAAAAATGTAAATTATTGGTAGAAGACTATAATTCACTTCTTTCAGTCATTAATAAATCAAAAGATGAGATTAATGCAGTTAACTAGTTTCAGATTACAAATGTAGTAAAACATTGTATGTAGAAATAGCAGAATACATCTATTAAATTGCACAATGAATATTATGAAAGTTGACATTCACCAGGCCATAAAGGATCAACCAATTTCAAAAATTTTGCATCATAAAGAACTTATCCTTGGACTTTCATGCAATTAAATTTAATATAAATAAAGTTAATTCAAAAACATACATATATTTGGAAATAAATATGTGATATAGAAAAAAGGAATAACAAAAATCAGGAAATATTTTTAATCAAGCAATAATGAAAGTACTACATATCAGTATTGATGATGTATAGCTATAGCACAGCTAAAGGGGAAAATCTAGACTCTTTTATACTCATAGTAGAAAAAAAGAAGAAAAGTAATTAATTAATTGTCTACCTGTAGAAATTAGGGAAAAAATCAGAATAATGGCAATGAAACTAGAAACAAGAAAAAAAGACAGAAATGAATAAAATAGAAATGTAAAATAAAGATTATCAGCAAAGGCAAAACCTCATTTTTTTGTATATTTCAGTAGCTTTGGGGGTACAAGTGGTTTTTGGTTAATAGATGAATCATATAGTGGTGAATTCTGAGTTCTTAGTGCACGTGTCACCCGAGTAGTGTACATTGTACCTAATGTGTAGCTTTTTGTCTCTGCCCCTATCCCACCCTCCCCCTTCTGAGTCTCTAAAGTCCATTATTTCACTCTGTATGCTTTTGCATACTCATAGCTTGGCTCCCACTTATAGGTGAGAACATATGGTTTTTGGTTTTCCACTCCTGTGTTACTTCGCTTAGAATAATGGCCTCTGGCTCCATCCAAGTTGCTTCAAAGCACATTATTTTGTTTGTTTGAATGGCTGAGTAGTAGTCCATGGTGCGTCTCTCTCTCTCTCTCTCTCTCTCTCTATATATATATATATATATATATATATATATATACACACACACACACACACCATATTTTCTTTATCCACTCATTAGTTGATGGGTACTTAGGTTGGTTCCACATCTGTACAATTGTGAATTGTACTGCTATAAACATACATGTTCCAGTGTCTTTTTCATATAATGACTTCTTTTCTCTGGGTAGATACCCAGTAGTGAGATTGCTGGATCCACTGGTAGATCTACTTTTAGCTTTTTAAGGACTCTTTATACTGTTTTACATACAGGTTGTACTAATTTACATTCCCACACTCAGTGTATAAGCATTCCCTTTTCAACACATCTATGCCAACATCTATTGTTTTTTCACTTTTTAATAATGGCCATTCTTGCAGGAATAAGGAGGTATTTCACTGTGGTTTTAATTTACATTTCCCTGATGATTAGTGATATTGAGCATTTTTTCATATACTGCCCAAAGCAATCTACAGATTTAGTGCAATTGCTATCAAAATACCAACATCATTTCTCACAGTATTAGAAAGAACAATTCCAAAATTCATATGGAACAAAGACTTCATTCTTTGAAAGCATTATAAAATTGATAAGCCTCTGGCAACCTTAATGGAGTGAGAGAGAAAGAGAGAAGAGAGGATAATTAATGCAGAATTGAAAATACTGTTGATAATTGTAGTGGCAATAGATATTAAATATATAATAAGAAGATACTGAAGACAACTTTATGTCAAAAACATCAAATTTAGATAAAATGCATATATTCTTTGAAAAATGGAATTTAACAAAAGCAACTCAAGAAGAAGAGAATTCCTGAATAGTTTTATGATGATTAAAAAATAACTCACTTTAAGTGGGACCCTGATCCACTCCCCCTTGTGAGGTGAGTCCTCCCAGCCAGGTCCTTCCAGTCAGGACCTCCAACCACTGCCTGTGTTCCAGGGGGTTGACAGAGTTCCAATTTCTCCCTGGGACAGAGTGCCTGAGGGATGGAGCAGGCCACGACCTCGGTCATTTGGGCTAGTCAGCTGGTCCAGCCTGTGGGCCTTCGAAAGCCCAGACCAATCAGGGGATGAAAGGAAACCCAACACAGCACAGCTGCTATACGAAAAAGCAGCCAGACTGCTTCTTTAAGTAGGTCCCTGATCCTGTTCCTCCTGACTGGGTGAGACCTCACAACCAGGGTCTCTAACCACCCCCTACAGATGCGTTCAGACTGGCAATAGGTCAGTACCTACTGGATGGAACTTCCAGAGGAAGCGGCAGGCTGCCATCTTTGTTGTTTTGCAGGCTTCACTGGCAATACCTCTAGTTATGGGAAGAACTGAGGCAACTAGGGTCTGGAGTGAACCCCTAGCAAACTGCAGCAGCCCTATGGAAGAGTGGCCAGACTGTTAAAAGAAAAGCAAGTCAACAACAACAACAAAGAAAAAACACAAAAACCCCATCCAAAGGTCAGCAACCTCAAAGATTGAAGGTAGATAAGCCCACAAAGATGAGAAGGCATCAACAAAAGGACTGAAAACTCAAAAAGCCAGAGTGTCCCTTTTCTGCCAAATGACCACAACACTGCTCCAGCAAGGGCTAAGAACTAGGCTGAGGCTGAGATGGCTGAAATTACGGAAGTAGGCTTCACAATGTGGGTAATAATTAACTTTGCTGAGGTAAAGGAGCACATTGTAAGCCAAAGCAAAGAAGTTAAGAATCATGATAATACAATACAGAAGCTAACAGTCAAAACAGCCAGTTTAAAGAGGAACATAACTGACCTGTTAGAGCTGAAAAACATCACAAGAACTTCACAATGCAATCACATATATTAATAGCAGAATAGAACAAGTGGAAGAAAGAACCTCAGAGCTAGAAGACTGATTTTCTGCGTTTAGACAGGCAGACAAGAATGGAGGAAAAAGAATGAAAAGGAATGAACAAAACCTCTGAGAAATATGGGATTATGTCAAGAGACAGAATCTATGACTGACTGGGGTATCTGAAAATGATGGGATAATAGAACCAAGTTGAAAAACACTTAAGGAGATTATCCAGGAGAACCTAGCAAGAAAGGCCAACATTCAAATTCAGGAAATGCAGAGAACCCCAGTAAGATGCTCCACAAGATCATCCCCCAGACACGTAATCATCAGATTCTCCAGGTTCAAAATGAAAGAAAAAATATCAAGGACAGTCAGACAGAAAGGGCAGGTCACCTACAAACGGAGGCCCATCAGACCAACAACAGACCTCTTAACAGAAGCCCTACAAGCCAGAAGAGATTGGGGAGTGATGTTCAACATTCTTAAAATAATTTCCAACCCAGAATTGCATATCCAGCCAAATTAAGCTTTATAAATGAAGAAAAAATAAGATCCTTTTCAGACAAGTAAATGCTGAGGGAATTTGTTGCCATCAGGATTGCAAAGGAAGCACTAAATATGAAAAGGAAAAACCATTACCAGTCACTACAAAAACACACTGAAGTACACAGAGCAGTGACACTATGAATCCCATAAACAAGTCTGCAAAATAACCAGCATCATGAGGACAGGATCAAATTCACACATAGCAATACTATCCTTAAATGTGAATGGGCTAAATGCTCCAATTAAAAGACAAAGAATGACAAGCTGGATAATGAATCAAGATCCACTGTTATGCTGTCTCCAAGAGATCCATCTCACTTGCAAAAGACACACATAGTTCAAATAAAGAGATGAAAGAAAATTTACCAAGCAAATGGAAAACAGAAAAAAGCAGGGAATGCGATCCTAGTTTCTGACAAAATGGACTTTAAATCAACAAAGATCAAAAAAGACAAAGGAAGACATTACATAATGGTAAAGGGTTCAATTCAACAAGAAGAGCTAACTATCCTAGATATATATGTGTCCAATATAGGAGCACCCAGATTCATGAAGCAGATTCTTTTTTTTTTTTTTTTTTTTTTTTTTGAGATAGAGTCTCACTCTGTCACCCAGGCTGGACTGCAGTGGCGCGATCTCTGCTCACTGCAAGCTCCGCCTCCCAGGTTCACACCATTCTCCTGCCTCAGCCTCCTGAGTAGCTGGGACTACAGGCACCCGCCACCATGCCTGGCTAATTTTTTTGTATTTTTAGTAGAGACGGAGTTTCACCATGTTAGCCAGGATGGTCTCGATCTCCTGACCTCGTGATCCGCTGACCTTGGCCTCCCAAAGTGCTGGGATTACAGGTGTGAGCCACCACGCCCGGCCTCATGAAGCAGATTCTTAGAGAACTTCAAAGAGACTTAATCTCCCACACAATAATAGTGGGAGGCTTTAACACCACACTGACAATATTAGACAGGTTAACAAGACAGAAAATTAACAAAGATATTCAGGACCTGAACTCAGTTCTAGATCAAGTGGAATTGATAGATATCTACAGAACTCTCTACTCCAAAACAATAGAATATACATTTTTCTAATTGCTGCAAAGCATTGACTCTAAAATTGATCACAAAATTGGAAGTAAATCATTCCTCAGCAAATACAAAAGAACTGAAATCATAACAGTCTCTCAGACCACAGTGCAATGAAATTAGAGCTCAAAATTGAGAAATTCACTCAAAACCACACAGCTACACGGAAACTGAACAACCTGCTCCTGAATGACTCTTGGGCAAATAATAAAATTAAGGTAGAAATTAGGAAGTTCTTTGAAACTAATGAGAACAAAGTGACAACATATTAGGATTAGAATCTCTGGGATGTAGCTAAAGCAGTGTTAAGAGGGAAATTTATAGCACTAAATACCCACATCAAAAAGCTAGAAAGATCTCAAGTTAACAACCTAACATCACAACTAAAAGAACCAGAGAACCAAGAACAAAAAAACCCCAAAGATAGCAAAAGACAAGAAATAACTAAGATCAGAGCTGAACTGAAGGAAATAGAGACAAAAAACTCTTCAAAAAATCAATGATTTCAGAAACTGTTTTTTTAAATTAATAAAATAGACCACTAGCTACTCTAATAAAGAGAAAAAGATTCAAATAAACACCATCAGAAATGGGGGAAATTATGACTGACACCACAGAAATGCAACCAACCATCAGAGAATACTGTAAACATCTCTATGCACATAAACTAGAAAATCTAGACGAAATGAATAAATTCCTGGATACATACACCATCCCAAGACTAAACCAGGAGGCAATCCCTGAATAGACCAATAATGAGTTCTGAAATTGAGGCAATAATAAATAGCCTACCAGGCCAAAAAAAAAAAAAAAAAAAAAAAAAAAAAAAAAAAAAAAAAGCCCAGGACCAGATGGATTCACAGCTGAATTATACCAGAGGTATAAAAAAGAGCAGATATCTTTCCTACTGAAACTATTCCAAAAAATTGAAAAGGAGGGACTTCTCCCTAAATCATTCTGTAAAGCCAACATCCTCCTGATACCAAAACCTGGCAGAGATACAACAAATAAAGAAGACTTCAGGCCAATGTCCTTGATGAACATCGATGGAAAAATCCTCAACAAAATACTGGCAAACCAAATCCAGCAGCACATCAAATAGCTTATCCACCACAATCAAGTTGGCTTCATCTCCAATTGCAAGGTTGGTTCAACATATACAAATCAATAAGCATAATTTATCACATAAACAGAACTAAAGACAAAACCACATTATCTCAATAGACACAGAAAAGGCCTTTCAAAAAACTCAACATTCCTTTATGTTAAAAACTCTCAGTAAACTAGGTATTGAAGGAACATACCTCAAAATAATAAAAGCCATCTATGACAAACGAACAGCCAATATCGTACTGAATGGACAAAAGCTGGAGGTATTCCCCTTGAAAACTGGCACAAGACAAGGATGCCCTCTCTCACCACTCCTGTTCATCATAGTATTGGAAGTTCTGGCTGGGGCAATCAGGCAAGAGAAAGTAATAAAGTGTACTCAAACAGGGAGAGAGGAAGTCAAATTGTCTTTGTAGATGACATGATCCTATATCTAGAAAATCTCATCGTCTCAGTCAAAAAGCATCTTAAGCTGATAAGCAACTTCAGTAAATTCTCAGAATACAAAATCAATGTGCAAAGTTTTCTAGCATTCTTATACACAAATAACAGGCAAGCTGAGAGCCAAATCATGAATGAACTCCCATTCACAATTGCCCAAAGGGAATAAACTACCCAGGAATACAGCTAACAAAGGAAGTGAAGGAGCTCTTCAAGGATAACTACAAAGCACTGCTTAAAGAAATCAGAGATGACATAAACAAATGAAAAAACATTCCATGTTCACAGATAGGAAGAATCAATATTGTGAAAATGGCCATACTGCCCACAGCATTTTATAAATTCAGTGCTACCCACATTAAACTACCATTGACATTCTTCACAGAATTAGAAAATAAAAGCTATTTTAAAATTCATATGGAACCAAGAAAGAGCTCAAACAGCCAAGACAATCTTACGAGAAAGAACAAAGCTGGAGGCATCACTCTACCTGACTTCAAACTATACTACAAGGCTACAGTAACCAAAATAAGAACTGCTACAATAACAGACGCATGAACCAATGGAACAGCATAGAGAACCCAGAAATAAGACTGCACACATACAACCATGTGATCTTCGATAAACCTGACAAAAACAAACAATGGGGAAAGGATTTCCTGTTTAATAAATTGTGCTGAGAGAACTGAGTAGCCATATGCAGAAAATTGAAACTGGACCCTTTCCTGACACCATATAAAAAAATCAACTCACAATGGATTTAAGACTTAAATGTAAAACCCCAAACTATAAAACCCTAGAAGAAAATCTAGGCAATACCACTGAGGACATAGGCACAAGCAAAGATTTCATGACAAAGATGCCAAAAGCAATTGCAACAAAAGCAAAAATTAACAAATGGGATCTAAGTAAACTAAAGAGCTTCTGCACAGCAAAAGAAACTATCATCAGAGTGAACAGACAACCTACATAATGGGAGAAACTTTTTGCAATCTACCCTTCTGGCAAAGGTCTAATATTCAGCATCTACAAAGAACTTAAACAAATTTACAAGAAAAAAATCAAACAACCACATCAAAGAGTGGGCAAAGGACATGAACAAACCCTTCTCAAAAGAAGACATACATGTGGTCAACAAACATATGAAAAAAAGCTCAACATCACTATCACTAGAGAAACGCAAATTAAAACCACAATGAGACATCATTTCACATCAGTCAGAATGACTATTATGAAACAGAAGACAACAGATGCTGGCGAGGTTGTGGAGAAAAATGAATGCTTTTACACTGTTGGTGGGAGTGTAAATTAGTTCAACTGTTGTGGAAGACAGTGTGGCGATTTCTCAAAGACCTAGAGGCAGAAATACCATTTGACCCAGCAATCCCATTCCTGGGTGTATACCCAAATGAATATAAATCATTCTATTATAAAGACACATGCACGTGTATGTTCATTGCAACACTATTCACAATAGCAAAGATGGAATTAACCTAAATGCCCATCAATAATAGAGTGGATAAAGAAAATGTGGTACATTTACATGATAGAATGATATTCAGCTGTAATACGGAATGAGATCATGTTTTTTTTTTTTTCGGTACGTGGATGGAGCTGGAGGCCATTATCCTCACGAAACTAACACACTAACAGAAAACCAAATGCAGCATGTTCACACTTATAAGTGGGAACTGAATGATGAGAACATATGGACACATGGAAGGGAACAAGACACACTGGGGCCTGTCAGAGCATGGTGGGTGGGAGGAGGAAGAGCATCAGGAATCAGGAAGAATAGCTAATGGATGCTGGGCTTAATACCTAGGTGATGATATGGTCTGTGCAGCTAATCACTATGGCACAGGTTTAAATATTTAACAAACCTGCACATCCTGCACATGTACCCCTGAAGTTAAAATAAAAGTTTGAAATAAAGAAAATAATAAATAAACATATTTTCACAGAAACAAAGAAGTAAAATAACTTCCAGTCACTAGATTATTATTGTGTACCCAACCATTTAATGGAAAAATAATATTAAATACAAAACAGTCAAGAATATTTTATGCAATATGGAAAGAGAAGAAACTCTCCCCATTTTATGTGTCTACAATGACTTTGATACCAACAAATAAAAAAGGTAGTAGAAGGAAAAGTGCTAAAATGCATTTTTGTTGCAAAAATTTTAAACAACACATTAGGAAACCAAATTCTGAATTATGTAAAAAGATAACATATCATAAGCATATTGGGAACATCTTGTAATGCAACTTTGGTTTAGCATTTAACAATCAATCAATATAATTACACCAGCAGACTAAAGGAGAACCCCATATAAATCATTCAGGAAAGGCAGAAGTATTTGTAAAATCAAGGTTGATTTATGATAAAAATTTGTAGTAAACTAGGAATATACTAAAACAAAATCCTGTAGCAAGCATCATAATTAACTGTTAAACTTTGAAAATGTTCTTTCTAATATCAGGAATAAGACAAAG
Organism: Homo sapiens; assembly: GCF_000001405.40. Lineage (NCBI taxonomy): Eukaryota > Metazoa > Chordata > Mammalia > Primates > Hominidae > Homo > Homo sapiens. Next base: position 120,888,432 of record NC_000006.12, on the reverse strand, counting down.
ATGACCGTGTCCACTTTTCAAAATTGTACATAAACCTCTGGCAGGCTCTGTTAGGATAATAAGGCAAAAAAGAAATAAAATAGGTGATAATTAGAAAAATTTAAAAAATCCTTATTTTCATGATATGATTGTTTATGTTAAACATCACTATGAATATATCAATACAAATGTATTATAAAATAATCACAGAATTTAGCAACCTTTTTGGCTAAAGAACATCAATATCTACAAATCAGTCACATTTACGTACATGCCAAAACAGGTAATCACAGTAACAATACAAAGAACATAAAGTATGTGAGAATAACTAAAGAGAAGCTATGCATGCTCTTAATGGATAAAATAATAAAACATATTGAAAATATTGAAAAAGTACCAAATGATGGAAATATATATCATGTTCATTGATTAAAAGTCTCAGTTGTTGTAATAACAGATTTAAGTAATTCTAATAAATATTTTAACAAGCCTGTGCGTATGTATAATTTGATTAACTCATTTGAAAATGTATATGGATGAGCAAAGAATAAAGAACAAGCAATTAATCAGGAAATAGAACAAAGTGAGGAGACTTGCCTTTTCATATATCAAGAATTTATTACTGCAGTAATTAATACAGTAGTTGAATGATAAAGAAATAGACAAATTAGGTAGTAAAATGAGGAGAGAGCATAGAAACACACAAAAAACAGAAACATAATTTACGCAAACTACTGGGAAAACACTTGATTAAAAGAAGTTAGAACACATAATCATCTATATGGAATAAAAAATGGAGTTGGAATTCTACCTCTTATTATGTACAAAAAATAATCTCTATGTCTTAAAGACCTAGATGTAAAAGGCAAGCTATGAACTTTTATAAACAATATAGAATAATATTTTTTAAACAATATAGATGTATATTTTTAGCAAGGTAAAGAAAAAATTTCTTAAACATATGTACACACACATACACAGTCAGCAGAGATCATATAAGAAAAAGCTTGATAAATTTAATGACAAAATAAAACATGTTTATTAATACTATAGTGATAAGATAATTTACAAATTAGAAGACAATATTTTCAGCAAAAATATTTGATAAATGATTGGCATTAAGAACATATAAAGTACTTAAGAAATCAGTAAGAGACAGACAAATAATCTACTAAAACTAGGCAAAAACCTTAAGCACTTTATAGAAGGAGAAACCTAAATGGCATCCGTAAACAATGCCAGGTTGCAAGAAGCATAGTCTTGGGCAAAAGAAGCAAGAAGATTATAAAGAGAGTAAGTAAATTAACACAAACTTCACAAAACATGCAAAACTAAACAACACAAATTTATGGTAAACCTAAGTTCAGAATAGCAGTTTCATCAAAGAAGATGAAATGAAAGTGAATGGCTTTAGGAAGAAACACATAAGAGCCTTCAAAATAATAATTTCTTCTTTCTTAACCTGGTTGACATATACATGATCCCTTATAAATGTTTTATAAATTTTATTTGAGATCTTTTCAACATTAAATAAATTCTTTTTAAAAGCGGTTTCTTGGTGAGCCACAAATATATGGTTGAAAGGCTTTACAAATGACAGTGTTTTGTCTAATAAGAGAATTGCTGCAGTGTTAGAGGAATCATAACAATGCTAGTATTTTTATGTCTGGCTTTATGTTTATCCGCCACCAAAAAAAACTGTATCCCCCACTCAAAAACAGATATGTTGAAGTCCTAACTCCCAGCACCTCACAATGTGAACTTATTTGGATATAAGTTTATTACAGATGTAATTAATTATGATGAAGTCATGCTTGAGTAGGGTGGGCTCCTAATTTAACATTTTGCTTGAGGTTGAAGAGAAATTAAGAAATTAAGACAACTTTAGCAGGCTCTAGAATACAATAAATGCAACAATAATGCATATTTTCAAAAAATTAACTCAAAAATTTTTTGAATAGGCATTCATATGTACAAAATTCAAAATAGTATGTAGTGTACAATATAAAGTCTTCCATCCCCATTAATCACTTGTGCATCTTTCCAGAGATACTTAAGCATATATTAGCACATCAGCATACCATCTTTAAGCCACCTCCCTTTTTGACACAAAGCTTATTATGCACTATGTTCTGTATTTCTCCTATTCCACCTAACACTGAACCCTGGAGATCTTTTCCTATCAACCCATGAGTATTTCTTCCTACTCATACTTCTATGGCTACATGTGTATCTAGCAATTTTCTAACTAGTGACACTTAGATATTTAGATGTTTTCAATATTTTAATTCTGCTTTTTAAAATATGAAGGAATGGAAACTTTTAGGTAAGGATGGCTGAGCAAAGCTTCATCACAGATTTCAGCCTTCCTAACATATAGTGAATACAAAGTGGTAAAATGTTATGCTATAAACTTTGAAAAACGAAGGCCAAAGGAAAGAAACAGAAGATTCTATATCAAAACAGAAGATTATATATCAAAGCAGCTCCTAATTTTGCTGTCACCCCAATCCTCATGCCAGAAAGGTAATTGAAAATAGAAGGTGAGCTGACAAAATTCTGGTATTTCTGAGAGCTCCAGTCTGGAGAGATGACGACTGTGACTGTGATAGACAGTGTAGGGAAAAGTCACAATGAAGCCCTTGAGAACAGGATCTCAGTAGAACTAAAAATGTTCTCTAGGAAATTTCCTTTTCCAACGAGGCAAAGATTTTCAGAGCAGGAAATACCCCTGGTTGTATGGATTATGTTATTTATAGGACATTCAAAAAAAATTCCAACGGTAAAATAGGGCAGTTATTTTTTAGAAGTGGTGCTGTAATTTTCAGGTGTTCCCCTCCCCTTTCCAACACAACAAACTCTCACAATGCAGATTAATGGATAGAAAACATGATCCTGTCCTGAATCTGTAGTTTGGATAAATTGTGACAGTGTCAAAAATATTTCACCCTCACTATGTCAGAGAAAATTAACACCCATATTAGAAATACATTTGTTACCAATAGCAAGGCTTTTAAAAATGGACAGCAACTAAATAAACATGGCAAAACAGTGGGTAAAAGGAATGTAGCAATGCAAGACAAATGAAGTACCCAGTAGGGAAAATATATTGTCCAAGAAAGAGAATAAAACTTTCCAAGTAGGTTTTGAGCTATAAAGAACTTAATAAAAATACAAAATCAATAAAACAACAGGTCGTAGACAAGGCACTAAACAAGCATAAAATGAAAAGGGAAATTTCTGTGCTAGTAAGACAAACCAAGTTCAAAATATCAACATTTATAGCTCTAATAAATAAATTAGAAACAAGAAGAGTCAGGAAAGAGAGAGTAAAATATTGAATTTCTCTTCTGGGGGAAAGACAGCATAATAAACTCAATGAAGAAAAGTAAACAAAGAAATTTTTAAAATTACAGAAGGTTGACAGATTTGAGGCCACAGATGATGTAGTGTAACAACAATTGCTATTCTTGGAGGAGCGAATCTAGTTAATGGAAGAGAAAAACTGTTAAGAACTATACAAGGAGGAAATACTCCCAAATTAAGACAAATATTAAAACATATCCTAGGTAGATTATAAACTTCAAAAAAGAAAGACTTCTCTAGACATCTAGGCAGGAAAAAAGTCCTGTCTCCTGCAATGAGTGGGAAGCAGGAAATAATAAATATCACAGATTTCTCCACAACAACTTTCAGTATCATCTGGAAAGTATATAAAATTCTGAGGGAAAACAAAAATCATCTAAGAATATTTTTTGGCTGAGCCATTATAGTAAAAGCAACACCTGACAGACATTCTTAGGCAAGAAAGAACTCGGGGATTATAACTCCTATAATATTTTCTTGAAATAACTACTTATTGATGAAGTTCAAGTAATCAATAAGTGAATCAAATGAGGAGTCAGGAATAAAACAAATTTGAAATGAGTGTAGTAGGCAGAATTCTAACATTGCCCTCGATATTCTCCTTACTAGGTTTAGATGCTTTATGTAATCACTTGCCCTTGAGTGTGGGTGGCACTATTAAATGAGATCGGATATCTCTTCCTTGATTAGGTTACTAATGAGTTGGCCTTGAGTTAATCAAAAGAGAGATGAACTGAGTGGGCCTAACTTAATCAGGGGTACCCTTTAAAGAATATGCAGTTGCAGAGACATGTTCTGCTGAGCTGAAAGAAAGGAAACAAACATGTTAGGATCTGCCTATGGAAAAGAGTGCCTGGTTTCTGGGCAACCCCTAGCAGGATAATAGGGAGCCATGTTCTACAATCATAAGAAACTGAATTTTGCCAATAATAGTTGAGCTTGGAAGAGTACTTAGGCAGCCAAACCTGGATTTCAGTCTTGTGAAACTCTGAACCCAAACCACATATGGACAATTGACCCATGGAAAATGCTAGATAATAAATGTGTGCTGTCTCAAGCTACTAAATTTGTGTTGATTTGTTACATAGCAATAAAAATCTAAAGTAGCGAGCTTTTAAGTATCGAATGGAGACAAAACAACTTGAGGAAATTGGATTAAAAAGTATAAAGTCAGTACTAAAAATTTTGAGAAAGGAAAATTACATAGTTAATTGAAAAAGTTGGAGTAAAGGTAGGAGAACACAAAGAGGAATACTTTTATTTTTAAGGCAGGGAGTATTTAAAACTGTCTATAATAAAATGGGGCTAAAACATAGTGACTCCAAATTCTTAATATTTACATAATATTATCCTTAGTATAAGCAGGATTTGGGGGAACTAGTGCTTTTATGGTTCTCAGGGATTAATAGATCCTGTCTATTGATCTTTTAAACTACATCAATCTATCTATCTATCTCATTGTTTGCATAGATAAATCCAGAATGAAGTCCTCAGGAATGAATACAGGAGATTAGACAGGTAACTCCAGGGCAGTGAGATTTTATGTAATTTTAGCTCTATTTTTGTATTTCTTGATATTTTTAATAATAAAGATATTAGTTTCTCTAAAATAACTATTCCAACATTAAATGCATTACACATAAAGGTAATGTATTTAAAGAAAAGGAAATAACATTGGGAATATTATTATTAATCCCATTTTGCAGATGAGAAACTGAGGATCAATAGGATTGAGAAATGTACCTAAGATTATGTAACTAGTAAGTAGCCAATGATTTGTCACCAGAACTCAGACTCTGTTACATGTTGATGTAGAGAATGAAGTGAATAAGAGGAATAAACAGATACTTTTCATATTAAAAGAAGATTCAGGAAGCTGCCAACTGCTGATCTCTTTCAGAAAAATTTATGAACATTCATCATGTTTTCTCAGGTGTAATATAAATCTTTTAAGGGCAGGAGTAATTTCTGGCTAGTATACTGGACAAATTTAAATATAAATTATCTACATTGTTTATAATAATTTCATTGATTCCTTTTTCCACAACAGTGATGCAAAAATACTATACCAAACATATATTTGGAGAATTTAGGAATTTGTACACAAATAATTCACTTAATTTTGAACTGGGAAAATTTTTATTTTGTTTCTCTTTGGTGCTATCAAGTCAAGTTAATATATATAGTTGATGTTTCAACAACATGAGTTTGAACTGTGTGGGTCCACTTACATGCAGATTTTTATATATATATATATATATATATATATATATATAGAGAGAGAGAGAGAGAGAGAGAGAGAGAGAGAGAGAGAGAGAAATATATATTTTCCTGTTTATATATATAGGAAAATATTTTTGGAGATTTCTGGCAATTTGAAAAATTTCACAGATGAACTGTGTACCCTAGAAGTATTGAAAACATTTATAAAAGTTAGCTATGTCATGAATGCATAAAATGTAGGTAGAAACTAGTCTATTTCATCATGTACTACCATAATATATACAAATCTATTACAAAAAGTTAAAATTCATCAAAACTTAAGCATACAAACAGACTGTACATGGAGCCATTCAGAGTCAAGAGAAATATAAGCAAACGTAAAGATTCAGGCTTGCTAGCTCACGCCTGTAATCCCAGCACTTTGGCAGGCCAAGGTGGGCAGATCATTTGAGGTCAGGAGTTCAAGACCAGCCTGGAAAACATGGCAAAACCCCTTCTCTAAAAAAATGAAAAAATTAGCCGGGCATGGTGCACGCTTGTAATTCCAGCTACTCGGGAGGCTGGGACAGGAGAATCGCTTTAACCCTGGGTGGCAGATTTTGCAGTGAGCCGAGATCACACCACTGCACTCAAGCCTGGGTGACAGAGGTAGACTCTGTCTCCAAAAAAAAAAAAAAAAAGTTATAATTGCATAAGTTAACTATAGTGCATACTGTACTACTGGAGTAATTTTGTAGCCAACTCCTGTTTCTATTGCAGTGAGCTCAAGCCTTGCAAGTATTAGCTTAAAATGCAATGCGACACTAATCACCTCCACTTGGCAGTTTCTTTTCTCCAGTATAGCAGTAAAGTTATCTCTCACCGTTCTTGTGTATTTTTCATTTTATTTATTGCAATATTTAGGGAATAATAGCATGGCACCCATACAAAGCACCACTATACTGGAAGTTTTCCCAAGAAGCAGAAAAGAGTCAACAGTAGGCTATTAATAGTTCAGTTTTGGGGGAGTCAGAAGTTATAAGTGGATTTTTGACTGTGTGAGGGTTGTTGAACCCTTGCATTGTTCAAGGGTCAACTGTAATTTTCTAGACACATTCATTGACTCAACAAACACAGACTAGGAATGTTAAGTGTCATAGTCTGTGCTAGAAACTAGGAATACAATGTGAACAAATCCACTATTGTTCCTCCACTCCTGAAATTTAAATTCTATTGGAGGAGACAAGCAACATGAGGAAGCAAACAAAATAAATGCAGTTTGTAATCCATTTCTATGAGTTCAGTAATAAGTTGCTGAGAAAGAGAATTAGGGTGAAAAAACTTTCTTTAGAAATGATGGTCAGGAAAGACTTTTATTGGGAAGCTTTATTTAAGCTAAATCCCGAAGCATGAGAAGTTAGTTATATGAAGGGAGTGGATCAAGTTTGGGTTGACTATCCTGTTGCAAAGAAAACAGAATGTGTTGATCTCTTGTGGTGTTTGGGATCTGAGAGAATTCCAGTGTGGTTGGAGTCTAGTGAAAAACAAGGGTTGGAAAGAAATCAATAACAGGTAAATCATATAGGACTTTAAAGATCACAACAAGATATTGAATTTTGATATAAGTGTAATGAGAAGAATTATTGAATTGTTTTATGTAGGGAGATGTTAAAGGCAAGTCCTCTCATTGTAGTATAGAGTGTATTAGAGAAACAAGAAAGGGTGGATTGACACCAGTTAGTATATTAAGGGATAAACCAAAAAGAGTGATGATGGTGATTCCAGCAAGAACAAGATGGGGTCAGTGCATGAATTTAAGAGGTATAAGGGAGGTAAAATTCACAGAATCTACTTTTAGATTTAATATAAAAATGACTTACTTGTAGGATCAAGCATGATTCCTAGGTTTTTATAATTGATATTGCATACTTAGATTCAGCAGAGGGAAAAATAATGGTTAAGAGGGGTAAAATATTTTTTCTAAAGTGTGTTTTGGACAATAAATTTGAGATGTCTATGAGACATAAAAGAAGAAATTTAAAGTAGGGAATTGGATATACATATATCTTGAGCTCAGAGGAAATGTCTTGGGTAGAGATGTAGGTTTGAGCTCCATAGTGACACTGAGGTGTGTTTTTATCTTGTTTGTTTTTGGAAGAGAATGTGGAGAATTGGTACCATGAAGTCCTTAAATATTTGGTATAATGCACCACCAGAACCATCTAGGCCTGATGCTTTCATTTGTCAAAGGCTTAAATTATTAACACAATGTATTTAATAGATATTGGTCTATTCAAATGGTCTCTTTCTCTTTGTGTGAGTTTTAGTAGATTGTGTCTTTTAAGAAATTGGTCAATCTCATTAGGGTTATTGAATTTCTGGGTGAAAAACTGTTTATATTATTACTTTATTATCCTTTTAGTGGTCCTAGAATCAGTAATTATGACCCCTCTTTCATTACTGATATTAGTAATTCATGGTTTATTCGTTTATTTCTTGATTGCCTGACTAGATGTTTATTGATCTTAAAAGCAAACAAACCGAAAAACCAGCTTTTGGCTCTATTGGTTTTTCTCTATAGCTTTCGTTTTTACAATTTTATAACTTTTGCTCTAATTTTTTATAATTTATTTTCTTCTTCCTACTTTAGATTTATATTGCTCTTCTTTCCTAGTTCCTAAGGTGGAAACTTAGATAATAGATGTTAGAGCTTCCTTCTCTTCTAAAATATGCATTCAGTTATATAAATTTCTCTTTAAGCACTGTTTTTGTTATAACCAACAAATTTTTTAAGGTATGTTTTATGGCCCAGAATGTGGTTTGTCTTGACATATGTTCCATGTGAGTTTGAGAAGAATTTATGCTGTTGTTAGATGGAGAGTTCCATAAATGTTGACCAGATGAAGTTGGGTGACAGAGCTGTTCAGGTCAACTATATCCTCACTGATTTTCTACCTGCTTTATTTATCAATTACGAGTAGAGGGGTATTGACGACCCCAACTATAATAGTGGATTTGCCTATTTCTCCTTTCCATTGCATCAGCTTTGCATCCCATGTTTTTACATGATTATTGATATAGTTGGATTAAAATCTACCATATTTGTAACTGTTTTCTTTTTGTTGCATTTTTCCTCTTTTTAAAATCTCCCTATTTTTTGTCGTCTATGTTTTAATGTAGCATTTTTTTATGATTACATTTTCACTCCTCTCTTAATCCAGTAATTATACTTCTTTCAAATTTTTTAGTAGTTGCTCTAGAGTTTCTAATATATGTTTCTCAGACACTTTATATGTAGTGAAGTTACCTTATAACATAATATTGCCAGTTCCTCTCACTCATCTCTAATGACATTTCTGTCAGTCATTCATTTCACATAACTGTATGTTGTAATCATCCCTCAATATATTCTTACTTTATTACTTTAAGCAAAGTTTTAGATCAATTAAGAATCAGAAAATAAAAGCTTTTATTGGTCTTTATTTGTGCCTTCCCTAATGTTCTTATTTTCTTGATGTAAATTCAAGTTTCTTATCTATATATTTATATTTTCTCTGTATCCTTACTTACATCTCCCTTTGTGATATTGGGCTTCCCTAAATACTCCTCCTCAGAGAGAGTCTGAATTTTGCAGCTCTTGCAACTCTAGTTCACTGTTATTTTACTGGAGCTCAATTAATGTTCTGTTGAGGTTTTGGTGAGGAGAAGCATTGCATAATCCTACTAATAAATCTCTGTCTTTTCCAGTGCATTTGGGCTGTACTTTCATAAACATTTCTTGCTTGCCACACTTCTCCCTTAGGTAAAACAGGAAGGTACAAGGGGGCTGGAGACAGAGAAATATCCTTTCCCCAAGTGAGTGAGACTCTCATACGTCCTTTAGCCCCAGTTAGGCCTCTGTTATGGGGAATACTCTGCACCTATTTTTAAGTGATTCTTCTTCTTCTTCCAAAGCCACAGAGGGATGTTTTTTGACTGTTCACCTTAGAAACTTGTGGAGTTTCTGAAGGTAAAACTCATAAAAGAATGGTGGGCCCTTTATGGCTGTGACCCCTAGGAGTTTCTCCTTGTTCAGCTACTCCACACTCAGCCTCTAACAATTTGTCAAAGTAATCATTCAGTTATTACTATCATTTTGTGGCTCCAGAGGTTTCTGCTTCAGTTAAACAGCTCTTGGTTATCACTCTCAGAATTCAGTAATGTCTTCACATTTTAGGGTGGCGTTTGTCCTGGTGACCTCAATTTTTTCGTAGATTTCAGAAAAATTATTGATTTTCAGTTTTTCGTTATTTTAAGGGAGTGATGACTTCCAAACTCTATACATTACAGCCGAAAAAAGAAGTCCTTTTGTTTATTGTAAGTCATGGAGATACATGAGACATCAAAGAAGAGACTGTAGAGAAAGAGGTGGTAAGGTTTTAGAAACTTCAACATTTAGACATAAGCTACAGTAGAATAATCCAGTAATGAATTCTGAGAAGGAGTAACTCTTCAGAGATGGAATAAGTGTCAGGAGACTGTGAAGTCATGAAGAGCAAGAAAAGAGAGTGTTTCAAGAGAAGGGAGCAGTCAACTAGCTGAATATTGCTGAGAGGTCAAGAAAACCCAAGATAGAGTAGTGTATATTTGATTTGGCAAAAAGGAAGTCATGGTTGATTTATGTAGGAGTAGTTTCAATAGAAAGAGATAGAAAGAGTGTGGATATGAGTATAAGAGTGTATGTGATGAAGAAGGAGAGCGGAAGCCAGACTGGAATAGGTGAGGTGAAAGAGTTTATTAAAGAGTAGAAGTGAAGATATCAGGTTGATTTTCAAGGAGAATATCTCATCAGAAGAACAGCTACATTTAACCCTGAATTATTTAGAAAAACCCTGGGTTACTGAAAGGCTGTTCATCTGTTTATATAGATTTCCCATAAATCTGATTTGCAAAATAGGAATAATAACAAACAAGATAAATTGGTTTTTTGTTTGTTTGTTTGTTTTTTTTTTTTTTGAGACAGAGTCTCACTCTGTTGCCCAGTCTGGAGTGTGATGCTGTGATCTCAGCTCACTGCAACCTCCACCTCCCAGGTTCAAGCAATTCTCCTGCTTCAGCCTCCTGAGTAGCTGGGATTAGTGCCTGCCACCACACCCAGCTAGTTTTTGTATTTTTTAGTAGAGATGGAGTTTCGCCATGTTGGCCAGGCTGGTCTCGAACTCCTGATCTCAGGTGATCCACCCTCCTTGGCCTCCCAAAGTGCTGGGATTATAGGTGTGAGCCACTGCACCTGGCCAATAAACTGTGCTATTAATGAGACAATAACAATGTTAAAATATTTTGGGAGGGACTGTAATAGCCTAGCTTTACTTCTCCAAGGAAAATTCTGGGGTCTAAATTTAGGGAGTCTCTTATAGATGGTTAAGAACTTTGCCAAACAAAATGGTCCCTTTGATAAAGAGAAATAGTTGCAATCTTGGCATATCATTTTTATGATTCCTACATGTATCTAGGAATTTTAAAGGGAATAATATGAAGCAACAGTATATATATAGGGTTATTACATATATAGAGAGTCTACTGGGGAAAAAGCATTGCTCCTTTTTCATAGGTCAGTTACTCTTCTCATCCCCCAGCCTCCTTGGAAACAGACATTACAACCCTTCCTACTTCAAGGACAAAGAGTTAAGTGACTGCATCAGAGCCTGCCTTTGAGACCAGAATTTAATCAGGCATTCCGAGAAGGCAGACCCCATGAAGGCCAAGGTAGTAGGTCTAATTGCTTTTATTTGCACTCTGTGTACTGTGTGCACTGTTTCCCTGTGAGGAACTATACTTCAAATGAGGGTTCTCAATTAAAGTGAAACAACTTAGTCTGGCAAGTTGAGTTTTTTAATGATCCTTTGAAACTTCCCTTCTTAGCATGACTCTAATGATACATTATCATAGAACAAATTCATCATTCATTAACTCCAAATCAAATCCAATTTTTCTACCCAGGAGCACTGCCTTTCAAAAATTAGCTGTGTGAATTCCTCTGCTTAAAGTATAATAGCATCGTGTTAAAGGAGGGTGAATTTCAAATGTGTGTACCTACACAAATCCCTACCGATTTCCAAAATCAACTACTACCACAGATACCCACTGGGATATTAGAACACAGCAGGACATAACAGGGCCTAAGACAGGGTAATCAGCCACTCTGTTCTCTGAGGCAGGTTTCCTGAGTAGCAGACAGAATGAGAACTCTGACAGGGATTGCTGCCAAAGAAGTGAGAGCATGTGGTTAAGGTATTCATACTTAGTACTTTTCTTTTTCTTTTATCCTGAATTTTCTCTTCTCATAAATATACCTCCTTGGGGTTTCTTTGTGTTTACACACAGGCTTCCATTTTCCTTCACACAGTTCTTTCTTCCTGTTTCAATATGTGTCAGCAAAGTCTCTTTGCATCTTTTATCACCTAATGAATTTTTCAGAAATAAATTTTTTTTTATGAATAGTTGCTAATACTACCATGGTTCTTATTTTTTCAATTTCTTTCACTCATTTTTCTTTAATTTCCATGAATGTTTTACTTTCAATAATGATTCTCCCATAGCTTTCTTTTCACCATCTAAAAGTGAAAAGAAACCAACACTAGTGCTTATTTCTCAAGAAATGTTTCTTGTTTTTCTATGTAAATAATGCATCAACCTAAACACATGACTCTCAAACAAGCCATGTTTTATTTTACTATGTATGTACAAGAGGTAAAATCCTCTACACAATACTGAAGAGAGTATTATTCAAATTTTTATCAGCAAAGAACAGCAGCAGGGTAACACCTAAAACCTCTAGAGAAAAACTTGGCTGCTTCAAGGCTGACCCTCTGAGAGGAAGAGAAAATTCTGTTTTCAGGAAGTTGGCTAAGTAGTATTTTTTATTTTTTACAGTTCACCACACCTTTGCTGTAGCATATCCAGATTCTATGACATAGAAAAAGAAGTCACTTCACCGTTTGAATACACTCTCTAACTTCTTGTTAATATTTAGACAGACATCATGCTTTATATCTTACAGAATTTTTGTCACTTATATTTGAAAAATTAAAAAAAGCAACCTATAGAATTGGAAAACAGAATTCACCTTAGGGAAAGAAGAAAACTTAATGAACTTCAAGGAAAGGCACTCTGGTTTTAGGTTTTTGTTTGACTAGGCTAGCATTCACCTCTCATTTATAGAAAGGGGAAAATTAATATTTCATCAAAACTTTTTTACAGTGATAAATTTTGAAAGGAGATTAAGACACTTAATTATAATTTCTAAATCTAACTATAAGGTGAATTATGAAAGACAAGTATTTCATTTATGAAGTGAATTTTTGAGATGAAATGATGAATGCCAGCAATGAACAAAATAATTCAAATTTTAAGATATAGACAAGTAAAATGAAAAAAATAAAAATTTTTTTCTTTTTATAGAGAGACAGGTGAATTAATTTTATCTCCAAGATATCTTTTGTCTGAATGCCCTTTGGTGTTTAATAACATGATCTCAATATCAAAGCTTCTAGCAAAGTAATCACAAACACTTTTGTAAGACCATCAATTTCTACCTTTACATTTCGAGGAGTTTATTTGTTGGGTCATACAGAATAACTAAGGGACATGAAAATAATCTATCTGTCCAACTATATTTTTTAATTATTTATTTTCGTAATTTTCCATATTATGACTGGTGTGTTGGAGTCGTGAATTAGAAAAAGCTGCTATGGAAGAAGAGTGTGGTCCACAGAGGTTATTCTCCTTCAACTGATGAGTATCAGAGCTAGAATTAGGACCGAGTGAGCCTGATTCCCATGCTAGGGTGCTTTCCATTTTATCAAAAAGTTTCCCTCCTCATGAGGCATAGACAAAACATATTTATCAACTAATAGAATAAGGTAGGAAAGGAGTAAAATTATATGCCCTCCCAAACTGGCCTCAAATAATAACTCTTCTCTGATGCTTTTCTTGGTACTCCTTGGCCAGGTAGACACTTCCTTTTGAATTTCTCAGAATATGTATTATATTGTAATAAATATATATTTTCCACAGGATCCTTAATGTATCATTTCGCCAGCCAGAAACCTCTGTGGCCAGCGGCACCTCTGCTCAGGTTTTGCTCACTCCACTGGGCTCTTGGTCCAGTGGGCTGCACTCCGCTTGCACTACTGGCCTGGATCCCATGCCTGCCAAGGGCGAACCAGGCATGGAGTGGTGAGGGGTGTGTGAATGAGTAAGTGTGGGGTTTGGCTACTGTGCACAGCCAGGCATGTTGGCTGCTGTGACAGGGCAGGCAGCTCCAGAAGCTGGCACAGGTGCTGGCTCTGTGCGAGGCTGTGGCTTGGACCAGGTGTACCACAAGCAGCTTCCATTGCAGGTACCAAGGACCATGGTGCCAACCAAAAGCTCGGAGACACCAGTAACCACAAAGTCCCAAAGAGAGTGTTACAGCATGTCACAGCCCTGGCTCAGAAAGCCCTGGGGTCTGGGCTCCCAGAAGGGCCACAGTTCTCTCATTCTTGTTGCCTGTAGTGTGGTGAGCAGGGCAGGGAAGAGCGGGGGGAAGAGGGGAGTGTCTTTTTGGGGGGCATCTTTCAGCCTGTTTGTGTTACAGCTCTTTCAGTTTCACTGCCCCACTCTGGCCTGTGGCGCTTGGGTTGGTCCAGCCCTGCCACTGCTTCCCATCATGTGGGATGGCTACCTGGCACCAGCAGAGGACAGGAGGGCTATAGTGTTATAGCAGCTCTGGCTTGGGGAATCCTGAGGTCTGGGTCACCAGAAGGCTCACCACTCTTCACTCCCACAGTCCAGGAGGGTGTTACCGCCTGCAGCTTGGTGAGCTGGCCAGGAACTGTTATAGCTTCTTTCATTCCTACCATTCAGTGAGTCCCAAGTTCTTGTCCTGCATCCAGAAAGCATGAGTTTACACAGACAGCTAGAGGGTGAGCAAGGCAGAGAGGAGCTTTATTGAGTGACATAACAGTTCTCAAGAGACCCGAAGTAGGGAGCTCCTATCCTCAGGCAGGTCATCCCGATGAGTGTCTGAATCTGGCTTAGTCTGGGGTTTTTATGTGCTCAGAATGGAGGATGTCTGTGCCAACTGGTCCATGGGTGGCCATGGGCAGACCTGGATAAAGCACCATCCAACTGGATGTGAGGTATCAAAGAAGTTCTTACTCCAGGTTGTGGACTTCACCCGGAACTGGCAGCCCAGCCCCCAGGCTTCAGGCCATTCCTGGTTTGAAGGTGGGGTTTTACTGGGGACCTTCCCCTCCCTGCCTAGGAACCTGTCTGCCTCCTGCTGCTGTCACAGGATCCTTGGGGTGTCACTTTGCAGGCCAGAAAGCTTTGTGGCCAGTGGCGCTTTTGCCCCAGTTTTACTCGGGCCTGCTGGCCTCATTCCTCCCACTTGGCCTGGGAGGCTGTGCTCAGCATATGCTACCAGTCTGGATCCCACACCTGCCAAGGGCCAGCCAGTTATGGAGCAGTGAGCAAGTAAGTGTAGCGGTCCAGGTGCTGCACACAGCCAGGCACACCAGCTGCCATGGGGCAGGAAGCTCCAGGTGCCAGCATTGGCGCCAGCTCCCTGCAAAGCTGTGGCTGGACCAGGCGTACTACAAGTGGCCTCCACTGCTGGCACCAGGGAACATGGTGGCACCCAGAAGCTTGGAGTTTCCAGGAGCCACAGAGCCCCACAGAGGGTGTCACAGCCCTGGCTCAGGGAGCTCTTAGGTTTGGACTCCCCAAAGGAATGCAGCTCTTCTCTCCTTCGTGTTGCCAGTGACATGGCAAGTGAGGGGCATGTTTCAGCCCTGTTTGTGTTACAGCTCTTTTAGTCCTGCCATTTGGTGGGTCCCAAGTCTTGTCCTGTGTCCAGGAAGAAGGAAATTTGCGAACAACTGGAGGGTATGGTGAAGAGGTGCTTTACTGGGTGACAGTTCAGCTCTCAAGAGACCCAGAGTGGGCAGCTCCTATCCAGAGGCAGGTCGTCCCATTGAGTGTGCAGCTCTCAGCAAAGAGGAGACCCATAGCAGATAGCTCCTATCCACAGGATGGTTGTCCTGATGTCTCCTCAGCTCTCAGCTAAGAAGAGACCCACAGTGGGTAGCTCCTTTCTGCAGGCGGGTCATCCCAACATCTGCTCAGCTCTCAGCTGAGAGGAGATCCACAGTGGGTAGCTCCTGTCTACAAGCAGGTCGTCCTGACATCTGCTCAACTCTTACCTGAGTGGAGACCCACAGGGGGCAGCCCCTGTCTGCAGGCAGGTCATTCTGATGTCTGCCTTGAGTCTGGCTGAATCCGGGGTTTTATGATGTTCAAACGGAAGAAAGTACATTCTGATTGGTCCATGGGCGGTCATGGGTGGGCCCAGAAAAAGCATTATAAGTCTTACACCCCTAGGCTTCAGGTCATCCCAGGCCTGAAGGTGGCACTTCACCAGCGACCCGCCCTTTCTGCCCAGGAGGCTGTCTGCCTCCCACCATCATCAACCTGCTGACCCTGGTGCCCACGCTGTTGGTGCTGAGGGACGCCTACAGGCCTGCGCTGATCTACCCTCAGCCACGTCTCAGGCTTCCTCCCATGTTCCTCTCTGCGCTGATCCGCCCTCAGCCCCTTCTCAGCCTCCCTCCCATGCACCTTGCTGCCCAAAGTCTGGAGAAGGCGGAAGCCACAGGGGACTGGTGTGTCGGTGCTGCCCTGGGTGCACACACACCTGGCTGGGTCCCAACAGTGCCCAGGCTCGGCTTCAACTTTGCTTCAATATCAGAGCAGGCACCCAGGAGCCAGGAGAGGCTGGGCAGTGGGAGCAGCCATTTCCAAGTCTGTGGAGGTAAGGGGGGCTTCCTGAGCCCCTGAGAGTGCAGGAATGCTCAGGTCTACAACCGCTGCTGGGTGGCTGCAGCTGTGCCCGGGAGGGCAGGGCTCCTTCCTCTCCAACTCAGAAGGGGTGGGGTTTCTGCCGGTTCCCTGTTCCTGCAGGCTCCCTCTGCACCTCCCCCACTGCATCCTGGTCTTTGCAGCAGCCACTCCAGATGGGTGCTGCTGTCATAACCGCCATCAACATGCCATCCACGGTGCCCAGGCTGTCCACATCAAGAGGTGCCTGTAAGCCCAAGTTGAGCCGCCCTCAGTCTCCCAGCCTCCTTCCCACTCTACTTGGGGTCCAAAGTCCTGAGGGGACCGAGGCTGCAGATGGGCTGGCGTGTCAGCGATGCCCCAGGGCATGCATATCTGGCCAGGTCACGACAGTGAGGGCTCAGCTACAACTTTGCTTTGCACCAGACTGGGCGCCGGAAGCGCGGAGAGGCCAGAGAGCAAGAGCAGGCACTTCTGAGCCTGCAGGGGCACAGGGCTTCCGGGGCCGAGAGAGCACATGTCTGGAGCTGCGGTTGAGCAGCTGCAGCTGCACCCAAGAGTGCGGGCTCCTGTCCCACCAACTCAGTAGGGCGCGGGACTCTCACTGGGATCACCTGTTCCCAGTCCCGTTTCTGCAGAGCATGCAGCCCCGGCTATGCCTCTCCCACTGCAGCTGGGATCCTCTCAGCGGCTGCTCCAGACGCACCACCGCTGCCATCATTTTCTTATGTTTATATGCGTCCCACTAGGCTGTGAACTATTTCCAATTAAAAAATAAACAATATCACGTCTTTATAATCCCAGAGACTAGCATTATTGAATGGGTGTGTAATGTACGAATGTACAAATTAATGAATACTGCAGCAGAGGGAAAGAGAAAGACAACTAATATCTACTGACTGCCCACTATGGACCAGGCTATTTGATTTACATGTAAAATGTTATCTGCAATATCTTAACTATTTGTCACAACAAGCTTATAAAATTCGTATTTTATTACATTTTAGTGGGATTGTTGGATCATATTGTAGTTATATTTTGATTTTGTTGCAGCTTTTTCTATAGAAAAAGCCATTTGTTTTTTCATAATGATTGTATTAATTTACATTCCCATCAACAGTGTTTAAGGGTTTGCTTTTCTCTACATTATCACTGACACTTGTTATCTTTTGTCTTTTTGATAATAGCCATTTTAACTAAAGTGAGGTTAATAATATTTCATTGTGGTTTCATTTGCATTTCCTTGATGATTACTGATGTTGAGTATTTTTTCATATAGCTGTTGGTCATTCACATGTCTTTTGAGAAATGTCTATTTAGGTATTTTGCGCTTTTTAAAATTATGTTCTTTTTTTTGCTATCGAGTTGAGTTCTTTTTATATTTTGGATATTAACCCCTTATCAGTATATAGTTTGCAAATATTTTCTCCTGTCCTGTAGGTCGTGTCTTCAGTCTGATGATTGTTTTTATTGCTGTGCAGAAGCTTTTTATGCTGATGTATCCCATTTGTCCATTTGTCTATTTTTGCTTTTGTTGTCTGTGCTTTTGAGGTGTTGTCCAAAAAAATTATAGCCCAGACCCATGTCATGGTGCTTTTTCCCTATGTTTTATTTCTAGCAATTTCATAGTTTTGAGTTTTACAGTTAACTCTTTAATCCATTTAAATTGATCTTTCATATGGTGAGAGGTAAGGATCTAATTTTGTTCATATGCTTATGAGTATTCAGTTTTCCCAACACCATTTATTGAGGAAACTGTCCTTTCCCCATTGTGCGTTCTTGGCACTTTGCAGAAAATTATTTCACTGAAAATGTCTGGATGTATTTCTGGGCTCTATATTCTATTACATTGGTCTATATGTCAGTTTTTATTCCAGTACCATGCTATTTTGATTACTATAGCTTTGTAATGCATTTTGAAATTAGGTAAAGGGGTTAGTAATTCAAAGTGTTAAATTGCTTTTTGAAAGTCACACAACCAATGAGCCGTTATTTAACACTAAGTCTGACTGATTTGAAACTCCTGCATCCATCTTAGACATAACATGGGATAATAATGATGAGTAATTATTCTCTCCCAAACAGTGAATTGAGAGTTGTTTACATGATATGTCATTTCTTTTTCACAATTTTAAAGAGGTGGGTACTATTGTTAGCACAATTTTTTAGTATCATTTTACAGATTATGAAACAGAGATTCAGAAAGATTTGGTAACTTGTTAAAAGTCATATAGGTTGTCAATGCCAAACCAGGATTTCATTGCAGATCTGGGTAACTTTAAAATGAACATACTTAGAAATTGAATGACATATATAAATACATCATTATTAAAAATAAATAATGGCAACAACAACAACAACAACAAAACAGTTGTGGCAGGCACTTGTGCTGCACTGCACTACATTCCTGGATTTCAGCACAGCTGTGGTGGACAGTTCCCTGTACTTTCTAGCTTCCATGTGAAAACTGCAGACTTTCCTTTGTCAGACACTACCAATACCACTCAACAGTTCCATGTAATCTGTTAAATAAAGAAGAGCTAACTTTCTTAGGAGTAAACTTTAATGCGGTTACAAAGTCAGTAGATAA
This sequence comes from Homo sapiens, assembly GCF_000001405.40. Classification (NCBI taxonomy): domain Eukaryota; kingdom Metazoa; phylum Chordata; class Mammalia; order Primates; family Hominidae; genus Homo; species Homo sapiens. Next base: position 120,869,435 of record NC_000006.12, on the reverse strand, counting down.
CAACTTTCATTCTGTAGTGGTATAATTCTGAAGCTCAGTCTCTATGGTTCTTCATAGAATTCTTAGAGGGATTAAGTTCATCTGCCCAGGATGATAAGTTAACATATGTTTGATTGATTTTTCTCCCTTTACTCTCTCAATTCTTCTACTCCTTCAGTTATAGTTCCTCAGTAGCCTCCAAAGTAAACTACTTGCTCTCAAGTTTGCTTTAGGAGAAAAAAATGAACTAAGGCAATGGATTTAACAAAAGGAGAATAAAAGTAGTTTACATTTAATGAAATATTTTATATAATTTACTTGAGTGTGGAAATGTGGTGGGCACTACAAACTACTAAAAATTAAAACGTGCCTATGTAAAGGGATATACATGTAGATGAAAAGATAGATAGATGATAGATAGATAGATAGATAGATAGATAGATAGATAGATACAGATTTAAGACAGTATTGCCTGGTATTGCCCTTCTTTTCTTCACTATGAAGTCCTGGATTATCTCCCTTAAAAATTTTTTTTATTTGGTCAAGATAAGAAATGATATTAGAAGTCTTTATTTCTTCCCCAACCACCACATGGAAAAATAGCCTGTAAGTCATGTATAAAATAAACAAAAAATGTATAACATCTGCTTTTGAGCAGAATCAGATTTTGCTCAACTATCTGAATGGAAGTAGTTCTGGCTGACTACTAGTATTGGCCTCAATACTAGTTTTGTAGCCAGAATTGCAAAACAAAGCCTATGCCTGCCATCTAACCTGCAGTGGAAAAGATCAACTCTACCGCCCAGTGACCTTTTATTCCATTTCCCCCATTCACCTGTTATAAGAAAAGAATATCAAAAAAGTCATATCTTCTTTTAATCCATGCAATGTTCTTCTTCTAAGTGTTTCCTACCCTGTCTTCCCACAAATAGACAAACACACAGACAGAAATTTTTCTAGGTATAATGATTCCATATATTTATCCATTGTGAATAGAACCTATGATGTACTTAAACATTTCTAATACATAGTTGGGAATTCACAAAGTATAACATGGTTATCAGCTTTAGTTTTATGACCTTAATATTTATAAGGGATTTAATCTGCTGTAATTAATTAGATTTAAAACTTTTCAGAAGAAAAATTCTTATAAAAATGAGGGTCTTCCTCTGACCTACAAAATTTGTGGGAGCTGGAGTTTCTTAAATCATTTTTTTTTTAGTGCAAGTATTTCAACATTTATGTTTTGCGATGCTTTGTAATCTCACCAATATTCCAAAAGTTTGAGCAAGCCTGCTAGACAGTATAAGTGACTATAAGATGGTATTCTCTGAGTACTCAAGTCTCCAGTAATGTTTTATGCCCATCACTCTCTAAGACTTTCTTGGATCTTAGAAGAGGAAGCCTGATTTATCTTTAAGAGATTAACAAGAACACAAATTGTATTCTAATTTGGTGATACAGTTTTTTGTTTTATTTTTGCTTGTTTAAACAAGAATACTAGGGGTCATTCCAAAGTGAAGGGAATTATGTCTAAATGGTTGTCTTAGTGGAGTTTATAAAATAGTTATTTGTGGGTGATTTCAAAATTCAAGGTTATGTTAAAGCAGGATCAATTTTACTTGTAAAAAATGGCAAAATTTACTAGATAATTTGCATCAGGTAATTTGAATTTCAAAGATGTTTCCTAACAACCTGGATAAGTTAGATAAGAAGTACAGTGATTCCTTTTAGGGAGGATCATGCAAGTTATTTTCTGTCAATAGCAAATATGTTTCCAATTGTGAGGTATTTTAAGGAGTTTTTCAGAAGACAAGTGGAGTCACAGCTACTTCTTTAGTGTTCTTACAAAAAAAAAAAGAAATCTTAGGAGGAATGTAACAGAAATCTATACTGAGAGATGGAAGCTGGACTCAATATGACACTGAACGATGCAGAATTGTGACTGTATGTGGCCATTTTTCTCGCTAACATGGTTTATTTAAAGCAACTAAAAAGTTTTCTCACAACCAAGAGGCGTGCATTTTTTTTTTGGAAACTATCTTTAAAAAATTAATAAGAAACAATATCCTCAGACATTTATAAGCTGTGACCAAAGAAAATTTGCTCACTTTATGCTATAAATTAAATGTCAAGAATATGCCATCTAATGATGGAAGAAGGAAGGAGTGATAGAGGGAAAATTAGTTTGGATAGCATTTTATTTTCTTTACTGATAATATAATCACATTATGTCATGTCAATATGGTCCTCAACATAAAGTATTGCAGATTCTGCATTAAAACACACTGAAGGCATCATCTAGAAATAGAAGTTTTAACCCCACCCTCTATCATCGTGTCACTCATTTCTCCAAACTAAAAATTCTCTGTGCTAGTAGAATCTCCTTCATACTATGAAATTTGAGGTTATACACTAACTGTTTTAACGTAACTATCTTTTTTTTCCCCACAACTCATCAATATGTGTCCTCCACATCTAGTGTCTTCTTTATCCCATGCTTGAGGCACCTTGTTTTTTCCCCTTTTGCTTTTGGTCATGTTTTAAATACTCATTGGTATGTCTTGTTTCTCTCATATACTTACTTGATACTTCCAGGCACATTCTTTGCCACCTCTTCCACGAAATCTTCCCCACCTATATTTCAGCCCACGGTGATGCCAATAACAGATATTTATTTTACAAATGAAAACATGTGCCTTGTAGAATTTGCTTCTTTCTTAGGAGTTAGTAGTAGCATACTGCTGTGGAAAGAATACTTGATAGGCAATACTATTTTCAGCATACTTATTCTCTAATTCTTAATATTCACACATGTAAAATGAAGACAGTGATATTTATAATTCTTGAAATATTTATAGAAATTCTTGAAATATAACAAAAATGTAAGGCATTTATACAACTGAAATAATTATTTCTAAATACTTTACATATGTACTTTTTATCCTAAGCCCTCAGAGAACAAATACGCCTTAGTATATATTTGTTTACAACTCTTGCAGCATGTTGGAAGAAATACATAATAATAATAAAAATAGCAAATATTAACAGTGTTCGTATATGTCCTGTATTGTGCTAAGTGCTTGGTATACCTCATCTCATTTAATTGCTTATTACATTATTTTGCAGGTGACAAAACTTAGTTTCAGAGAGTAAATAGCCTTCTAATCCACATACTTAGCTAACAGATGGAGGAATTCCAACCCAAGGATTATTGAATTCAAAACCCATCTTTTTTTTTGCACATTTAAAGATGGGGGGGAAGTTTATGGAAAAAAATGGATTGTTTTGTAGATGACAGTTTCTATAAATTGAAACTATTTAGGTCTCTGATTGTTACTCTGAGCTCAAGTAAGTTGCAAAAACTGGAAAGCAACTCAATTATGGCTGTGAACAATAACAGATGGGCATATAAACCTAGTACTTTGCTTGAACTTTGGGTTTCCATAACATTATTTTTGATGTATGTTAAAAGCTGCCAAATTTGCTTTTCATTTGCATGGCCACACTGTTTAATTAACACCTGACCAGGTAGCAAGTTCAGATGATAAAGTGAGTGGGAAGATTGCCATATTCGAAATAGGTGATCAATTAGTAGAATATTCCAACTATTGTTTAAAAAGCAAAAAACAAATAATGAGTATTGTAAAGCTAGATTTAGTCAAAGCTGCAATTGGACATATTGAGTCCCATATAAAATCACATCTTTTAGAGTTGGGGTAATTATTAAATGTTTCTATATTTCTCTCTTTCCACTCAATTATGTATGCATTAATAACATATAATTGATAGATACAATTGTATATATTTACAGTGCACAAAGTGATATTTTGAAACATGTATATATTGGGAAATGATTAATTTAGCTAATTAAAATATACAGAACCTGATACTTAATCTTTGTGTGTCTGTATGTGGTAAGAACATTTAATATCTACTATCAGCAATTTTCAAGTATATAATAATTTATGATTAAACTATAGTCACCATGCTATGCAACAGATCTTCAGATTTATTATTCCTGTCTAATGAAACTCTGTGTCTTTTGACCAACATCTCCCCATGCACTTCTTCCCCAACAAGCCCTTGGCAACTGCCATTTTACTCCAGGCTTCTATGAGTTAGTTTTGATTCCACATATAAGAGAGCTCAGGAGATATTTGTCTTTCTGTGTCTGGCTTATTTCACTTAGCATAATATCGTCCAGCTTTTCTCAACACCATCTAAAACATTTACCTTTTATCTTGTTGCTAATGGATATTCTAACACTGTTGAAGTGATATCTCATAGTTTATTTATTTTTATAATTTTTTTATTTTTAATTTTGTGGATGTATACATTTTATGGTACATGAGATGTTTCAATACATACAGGAATGTAATGTGTAACAATTATATCCCAGAGAATGGGGTATCCATCACCTCAAGCATTTATACTTTGTGTTGCAAATCCAGTTGCACTCTTTTAGTTATTTTAAAATATACAATTAATATATCATTGACTATAGTCACCCTTTGTTGTGCTATCAAATACTAGATTTGATCCATTCTTTCTATTTTTTGTACCCGTTAACCATCCCCACTTCTCTCCCATCCTGCTACTACTTTTCCCAGCCTCTGTTAACCATCCTTCTACTTTCTATCTCCATGAGTTTAATTGTTTCAGATCCTACAAATAGGTGACAACATGCGATGTTTGTCTTTCTGTGCCTGGCTTATTTCACTTAGCATAATGATTTCCAGTTCCATCCATGTTGCTGCAAATGACAGAATCTCATTTTTTTTTTATGGCTGAATAGTACTCTATTATGTATATGTACCACATTTTCTTTAGCCATTCATCTGCCAATTGACACTTAGGTTATTTTCTATCTTAGCTATTGTGAACAGCGCTGCAACAAATATGGGGGAGTGCAGATATCTCTTTGATACACTGATTTCCTTCATTTTAGATATATACCCAGTAGTGGGATTGCAGGTTCATATAGTAACTCTATTTTTGGTATTTTGAAGAATCTTCAAACTGTTCTCCATAGTGGTTGTACTAATTTACATTCTCACCAACAGTGTAGGAGGGTTCCCTTTTCTCCCCATTCTTACAAGCATTTATTATTGCCTGTCTCTTGAATATAAGCCATTTCTACTGGTGTAAGATGATATCTCATTGTAGTTTTGATTTGCATTTCTCTGATGGTTAATGATGTTGAGCACTCTTTCATATACCTATTTCCCATTTGTATGTCTTCTTTCAAGAAATGTCTACTCAGATATTTTGCCCATTTTTGATCAGATTGTTAGAATTTTTCTATAGAGTTGTTTGAGTTCCTTATATATTCTGGTTATTAATCCCTTGTCAGATGGGTGGTTTGCAAATATTTTCTGTGGGTTGTCTTTTCACTTTGTTGATTTTTTCCTTTGCTGTGTAGAAGCTTTTTAACTTGATGTGATCTCATTTGTCCATTTTTGCTTTGGTTGCCTGTGCTTTTGGGTATTGTGCACAAATTTTTTGCCAAGAACAATGTCCTGGGGATTTTCTTCAATGTCTTCTTGTGGTAGTTTCATAGTTTGAGGACTTTGATATAAGCTTTTAATCTATTTTGATTTGATTTTAGCATATGGTGAGAGGTAGGCATCTAGTTTCATTTTTCTGCACAGGGATATCCAGTTTTCCCAGCACCATTTATTGAAGAGACTGTCTTTTCCCCAAAGTATGTTCCTGTCACCTTTGTCGAAAATGAGTTTACTTTAGGTGTTCGGATTTGTTTATGAGCTCTCTATCTGTTCTATTGGCATATATGTCTGTTTGTATACCAGTATCATGCTGTTTTGGTTACTACAGCTCTGTAGTATAATTTGAAGTCAGGTAATGTGATTCTCTCCAGTTTTGTTCATTTTACTCAGGATAGCTTTGGCTATTCTGAGTCTTTTGTGGTTGCATATAAATTTTAGGATTTTTTTTTCTATTTCTGTGAAGAATGTCATCGGTATTTTGATAGGGGTTACATTGAATATATAGATTGCTTTGGGCAATATAGACATTTTAACAATAGTGATTCTTCCAATTCATGAACATGGAATATCTTTCCATTTTTTGTGCGTGTCCTCTTCAATTGCTTTCATCAGTGTTTTATAGTTTTCATTATAGAGATCTTTCACTTCTTTGGTTAATTCCTAAGTATTTAATTTTATGTGTGGCTATTGTAAATGGAATCAATTTGTAAATTTCTTTTTCAGATTTTTCACTGTTAGCATACAGAAGTGCTGCTGATTTTTGTATGTAGATTTGTATCCTGCAACTTTACTGAATTTATCGGTTCTAACAGTTTTTTGTGGTCTTTAGTTTTTTCTAAGTGTAAGATTATATCAATATTATATTATCTATCAATGAAGATAATTTGACTTTTTAAATTCCAATTTAGATGCCCTTTATTTCCTTCTCTTGTCTGACTGCTCTAGCTAGGACTTCCAGTACTCTGGAATAACAGTGGTGAAAGTGGGCATCCTTGTCATGTTCCAGATCTTAGAGGAAAGGCTTTCAGTTTTTTCCCATTTAGTATGATACTAGTTGTGGGTATGTCTTATATGGCTTTTATTATGTTGAGGTATGCACCCAATTTTTTTGAGTTTTTTTTTATCATGAAGGGATTTTGTATTTTATCAAATGTTTTTTCAGCATTAGTTGAAATGAGCATGTGGTTTTTATACTTCATTCTGTTGAATATGTTGTATCACATTTATTGATTTGCATATGTTGAAACCTCCTTGGGATTGTTTTCTTGATTTTTTTAGATAGTTCACTATTAGTATATAGAAACACTACTGATTTTGTTTGTTGATTTTGTATGCTGCAAATTTACTGAATTTATTAGTTTTAACAGTTTTTTCAGTACAGTCTATAATTTTCTAATTAAGATCATGTCATAAGTAAACAGACACAATTTTATTACTTTTATTTCAGTTTGAATGCTGTTTATTTCTTTTTCTTTCCCAATTGCTCTGGCTAGGACTTCTATCCTATTGAATAGAAGTTGTGAGGTGGGCCTCCTTGTCTTTTATTAATCTTAGAGAAAAGCTTTCAGCTTTTGACCATTGAGATATGATGTTAGCTGTTGGCCTGTCATATATGGCCTTTATTAGGTTGAGATACATTCCTAAATACCTAATTTGTTGAAAGTTTAAAAGTTTATTTTTGTCATGAAAGGATGTCGAATTTTGTCAAACACTTTTTCTGCATCTATTCAGATGACTGTGTTTTTTTCTTCTTCTTATGTTTATGCGGTGTATTCCATTTATTGATGTACATATGTGTAACAACCATCCCTGCAATCCAGGGATAAATCCTGCTTGTTCATGATATGTGATCCTTTTAATGTGCTAGTATTTGTGATAATTTTTAAATCTATGTTAATCAGTGATATTGACGTATAATGTTCTTCTCTTGCAATGTCTCTTTCTGGAATTGTATTGGGGTAACACTGTCCTCACAAAATGACTTCCAAAATATTCCCTCTTCTTCAAATTTTTGAGCAGCATGGGCATTACTTCTTTGAATGTTTGGTAGAATTCGGCTATGAAGCTATTTAGTTGTAGACTTTTCTTTTTTGGGAGGTTTTTGATTACTGGTTCAATGCCTTTACTTTTATTGGTCTGTTGAGATTTTCTATTTTTTTAAGACTTGGTCTTGGTAGGTTGTATATTTCTAGGAATTTATCAATTTCTTCTAGGTTATCAAATGTGTTATCGTACAGTTGTTCAAAGTAGTCTCTTATGATTCTTTGTATTTAGTGGTATCAGGCATAATATCTCCTCTTTCATTTATGATTTTATTGATATAGTCTCCTTTTTTCTTGATCTAGATAAAGATTTGTTGATTTTGTTTATCTTTTCAAAAGACCAGCTCTGTCATTTATTTTTCTTTTTTATCTATTATTTTATTTATTTATGCTCTAATATTTCTTTTCTTCTGCTGACTTTGGGCTTAGTTTGCTCTTTTTTATTCTAGTTCATTGAGATGTAATATTTGGTTGTTTACTTGAGATCTTTCTTCTTTTTAGATGTAGGTGTTTATCACTATAAACTCCCCTCTTAGGACTACTTTTGATGTATCCTGAAGGTTTTGCTATATTGTGTGTCCATATCTGTTTGTATCCAGAATTTTTTAAATTTCCTTTTTAATTTTTTCATTGACCTATTTGTTGTCCAGGGACATGTTGTTTAATTTTCATGCACTTGTGGATTTTCTCATGTTCTTTCTGTTATTGATTTCTAGTTTTATACAACTATGATCAGATAAGATACCTGACATGACTTGATGTGATTTGTCTTATTAAATTTGCTAAGGCTTGCTTTGTGGCCTAACATATGACCTCTATTAGGGAATGTTCTGTGTGCACTTGAAAAGAATGTGTATTCTAGTACTTTTGGATGGAATGTTCTGTATAAGGCTGTTAGGTTTATTTCATCTGTAGCATTATTCAAGTCTGCTTCTTCCTTATTGTTTGTCTGTCTTGATGATCTACACATAGTTAAAAGTGAGGTATTAAAGTACCCTAGTATTATCGTATTGCTTTCTATTTCTTCATCTAATTCTGTTAATACTTGCTCTATATGTTTAGTTTCACCGATGTCGAATGCATATATGCTTAAAATTTTTATATCATCTTGATGAATTGACCCCTTTATTATTATATAATGACTTTCTTTGTTTCTTTTTACAGTATTTGACTTCAAGTTTATTTTATCTGTCATAAGTATGGGTACTTCTATTCTCTCTTGGTTTCCATTTGCATGAAATATCTGTTCACATCACCTTACTTTTTGTCTATGTGTGTTTTTACAGGTGCAGTGAGTCTTTTGTAGGCAGCATATAGTTGGGTCCTATTTTTTTTAATCCATTCTCCCACTTTATGTCATTAGATTAGATAATTTAATCCATAATACCAATACAAAGGTATTATTATTAGATCACAACTTACTGCTGCCATTTTGTTAATTGTTTTTCTAGTTGTTTTGTAGATCTCTTATTTCTTTGTTCCTCTATTGCTGTCTTCTTTTATGACTAAGTGATTTTCCCTAGTGGTATGTTTCAATTCTTTGCTTTTTATTTTTTGTTTATCAATTACAAATTTTACTTTGTGGTTACCATGAGGCATTCAAATAACATCTTGTAACATTTTTTTTTAAGCTGATGGCAAATTTGATAATAAAAACTCTGTACCTTCACTCAACTCTCCTCTCATTTTTAGTTTTCAATTTTATGATTTACATTTTTTATATTGCATATTCCTTAAAATTTTTTAACTGTTATTGTTTTCAATACATGGTCACTTAACCTTAAAATTAAAACCACAATGTGATATCACCTCACATCTGTTAGAATGGTTACTATAAAAAAGACTAAAGATAACAAATGTTAATGAGGAGGTGGAAAAAAGGGAATCCTCAAACACTGTTGTTGGGACTGTAAATTAGTATAGCCATATGGAGATTAGTATGGTGGTTCCTACAAAAAATAAAAATAGAACTACCATATGATCCAGCTGTCTCATACTGGATATATATTCAAAGGAAATAAAATCAGTATGTCTAAGAGGTATCTATACTGCCATTTTTATTGCAATATTATTCACAATAGCCAATATATGAAATCAGCCTAAGTGTTGTGTTCATCAATAAATGAATGGTAAATAAAATATGATATATGTACACAAAAAATACTATTCAGCCATTAAAAAAATAAAATTTTGTCATTTGTGACAACATGGATAGAACCAGAGGACATTATGTTATGTGAACTAAGTTAGGCACAGAAAGACAAATTCTGCATAATCTCGCTAATATGTGGAATGTAAAAAAGTTGGCTTCATTGAACTAGAGAGTAGAATGGTGATTACCTGAGGCTGAGGTTGTTGGGGTGGTGTTGGGGGGATGTTGGTTAAAGGATACAAAATTTGTTATATAGGAGGAATAAGTTCAAGAGATCTATTGTATAACATGGTGACTATAGTTAACAGTTTATTGTAGTCTTGAAAAATTCTAAGATAATTGATGTAAAGTGTTCTCATAACAAAATGATAATTACGTGAGATAATGCATATCTTAGCTAGATATAGTCATTCCATAATGTATATATATTTCAAAACAATATTTTGTACATGGCAAATAGATACAATTTTATGTCAATTAAAAAATATAAAAAGATTTACATACCACCATTAAATTTCTACTCTGAATTTGACTATATTCTTAAGTTTACAGTGAGTCCTATAATTTCCTATGGGTTTATGTTGTTAGTTGGAGTTGTTTCACTTCAGCTTGAAGAATTACCTTTAGTATTGCAATAAAGGTATAGTTCTTATGAATTCCCACAGCTTTTGTTTGGGAAAATCCTTATCTCTTCATTTCTGAAGGATAGCCTTGTTGGGTGATATGGTTTGGCTTTGTGTCCTTACCCAAATCTCATCTCAAATTGTAATCCCCATATGTCAAGGGAGGTAACTGGTGGGAGGTGATTGGATCATGGGGATGCTTTCTCTCATGTTGCTCTCTTGATAGTGAGTGAGTTCTCATAAAAGCTGATGGTTTTAAAAGTGTTTGGCAGTTCCTCCTTCATTCTCTCTTTTTCCTGCCACCTTGCAAAGACGTGTGTTGCTACCTCTTCATCTGCCGTGATTGTAAGTTTCCTGAGGCCTCCCCAGCTATGTGGAACTGTGAATCAGTTAAACCTCTTTTGCTTATAAATTGTCTAGTCTCATGGAGTCTCTTTATAGCAGTGTGAAAATGGACTAATACACTGGGTATACATTAGCATTTTGTTGTTGTGTTGTTCAGCTCTTTAAATATATCATCCCATCTTCTCCTTGCCTGTAGAGTTTGTGCTGAGAAATCTTTGTTGCTTTTATCTTTCTCCTTTCAAAATTATTTTTTTGTTTTTGACTTCTGAGAGTTAAATCATAATGTCTTGGTAAAGATCTCTATATGTCATCTATTAGGAGTCTTTGGCCTTCATTGATCTGCTTGCTCATTTTCCACTCCACAGTTGAGAAGTTTTCTGTCATGGTTTCTTTAAATAAACTTTCTTTCCTCTTCTCCTCTTATACTTCTGGAACTCTCATAATTCATATATTGTTTCATCTGATGTTGTCCATAAGTCTCATAAGCTTTCTTCATTACTTATCATTTTCTTTTTCTTTTTTTTTCCTCTGGCAGGACAATTTCAAATGACCTGTCTTCATGTGCATTTATTGTTTTTTTCTACTCGATCAAATATGCTGTTAAAATTCTCTATGGAATATTTCCTTTCTGTTATTACTTAGTCCTTTTTTATGGTTTCTATCTCTGTTGAACTTCTCATTTTGTTTGTGTACTGTCTTCCTGATTTAGTTTAATTGTTCTTCTGTGTTTTCTTGGTGCTTACTGAGATTCTCTATATAATTTTAAAAATTCTTTGTCAGGCAGTTCCTAAATCTCTATTTGTTTAAGGTTGGTTACATGTGCTTTTGTTTTTTAAGGTTGTATCTTGATTATTTTTGATCATTGTGGGATTCCATTTTGTTGATGTATTTGAAGAAATAGGCACCTATTTCAGTCTTTGTGGACTGATTTCTGCAGGGAAAGCCTTTTACTAGTCAGACCATACACAGATTCTGGGTGGATCATCTGACAAGGTTCATGAGCAAGCTTAATGCGTGAGTCCTTAGCTTGACTATCTTGTTGCCTTGGTCAGCACGTGGGCAGAACTGGCACCAGGGTCCACAAGGGTTGTCTGGGAACTTGAGTTCATTAAGGCTAGTCTGGGACTTGGGTCCACTGGGGTGGGCCTGGATCCTAGGTTTATGAGGACAGACCTGGTGCTGGGGTCCACTGGAGGGGGCCTGTCAACTGGGTTCCTGGTATTGAGGCTGGAGCCTGTGTCGATGGGGATGGGCCTGGAGCCTGTTTCTACAGGGGTATGTCTACAACCTGGATCCATGGAGGCTGGCCTGGTACTGAGTAGTTCTTGAGCTTGAGTTTGCACAGGTTTTAGAAATGCCCCTGTAAACTCCAACCTAGGACCAGCCTGGTTCTTGGGAAGGCATTTATCCCAGGTCTGTGTGCCTGGGTCTGTGGTTTCTTGTCTAGAGGCTAGGTTGTGGGGGTTCTGATCTGAGGCTGAGGCCGAGGCCATGGAGAACCTACCTAAAGCTGTGGTGGGGCCAGGAACCATAGGTCTTGAGGGACCTGTCTGGTGCTGGAGTCTACTAGGGTAGGCCTGGACCTGACTCTTCTGGGTTGTGGGGCCATGAAGGCCTGCTTGGAACCTGGCATTGGACTGGAACCTAAGTTTGTGGAAACTACCCTTGGGGATACCAGGGCTAACCTGACTTTGTGGCAGGCCTGAATACTAGGGCCACAGCTACTATTCTGGAGCCTGAGGTTGTGGGGGCTGGCCTAGCTGTGAAAGTGGCCTAAAGGCTTGGTCTGTAGATGCCAGCCTGGAGTCTGATATTTGGGGGCTGGGCTAGCACCAGATTTCAATGAGCTAAGTCTGATGATGGGACTGAGGAAAAGTCAGGTGTTCATTTTACTCTCCTTCCCCCAACCAAAGTGTATCTTTCTTCATATGTGGTCTTTTGAGATAGACTCTTTTCACTTACTAATATGCATTTACCTTTCCTCCATGTCTTTTCATGGTTTGATAGCTCATTTCTTTTTAGCTCTGAAGTATATTCTGTTGTTTGGATGACGGAAGTTTATTTATCATTCACCTACTGAAGGACATTTTGGTTGCTTCCATGTTTTAACAATTATGAGTATAGCTACTATAAACATTCATGTGCAAGGTTTTGTGTAGACATAAGTCTTCAACTCCTTTGGGTAAGTGTCAAGGAGCATATTACTGGATTGTATAGTACGTTTATGCTTAGTTTTGTAAGGAAGTGCCAAACTATCCTCCAGAGTGGCTGTGCCATTTTGCATTCCCAGCAGCAATAAATGAGAATTCCTGTTGCTCCTTGTTATTTGGTTTTGTCTGTGTTTTGGATTTTGGCCATTCTAATAGGTGTGTAGTGGTATTTCATTGTTGTTTTAATTTGTTATTCCCTTATGACATAAGATATTGAACATCTTTTCATATGCTAATTTTCCATCTGTACATATTCTTTGGTAAGGTGTTAAGATAGTTTGTTCATTTTTAAATTGGGCTTTTTGTTTACTTACTGTTGTTTTATGAACTTAATTTTAAAATTCAAATAAAGGATATTTACATAAAAAACAAAATTTCTAAATACTTTTATTCTAAAATGAGGGGTTTTTACATTGTCATTAGAATTCATATGAATAATTTTATATATTCATGCATTTTCTGAAATATAAGAATGATCAAACTCAATGATTAATGGGAATGATTGTTAATTATATAGATGAAAATGGGAATTTTGAATTCATGGAAGGGCAAAGAAGAAACACAGTCTTGATCAGCAAAATTATCTTCCTATCTCTATGCAAGGTTAAAAATAATATGTTTGAGCATAAGTTTGGACAAAAAGTTAGAACAATACTTGTTCGGTTTCCATAAATCAATGAGAGCTTAAAAATCATGTTGATATATTACCTAAATATTCCAAACACTTATGTGAGAAAAATAAGAAAATATATTTAAAGGTATATATAAGATAGTAAAGGAAATGTCTTTTAAATAGGTTATGGTGAATTATTTATTTAATGGAAGGAATAGAAGAGTAAATCTTCTTTGTGAACCAAGTATATTTTAAATATATTTATAATGCTAATGATAATTTTTCAACTTGTAGAACTTATTTTCTATAGAAAGGTTAAATAATTCTTTCTCTTAAATTGATCTCTTGAAAATATGTATTTCATATGTATATGTATTTATACACACATAGTTTTATTACAAACACTTTTACATTGGAGCTATACTTTTACAATAAACAATATTTATAGGCATACCACATACCTTTAAAAAGTAACAAATTTAATAGTTAAGATAAATTTATAAGCTAAATTTCTCTGTTTTATTGATGATTTAAAAAAATAAAGTGAGGCATTTGCCTATCAGAGGCAGAGCAGAGATTTAAATAACTCCAAATGCTTGCTCTTTCATAGCAGCTTATTACTTTTCAATGTGCCTATATCTGTTTCACATTCTCATTCTCTTTTCTAAAATAAGTAAATAAGTAAAGAAAAATAAAAGATTTGCCTTTGAATATTCATATCTGTAGAGGTGAAATGCACCATAGAGATCACCTAAGGTTCCCTAGTTTTTTTTCATTTTTCTCCCATCCATGTCGTGCTTGAGATTTTCCACACAGCATGTACATAACCACATTCTTCCTTCTCAGTGAATGCCCACTATTTATTTATCATCATATCATCCCAAGATCACTGACCCCTACCATATTCTATATTCTTTTACCAATTGATTGTTGATATGCCTGTTTGGAAGAAAATCTGTTCCTGTGTCTTATATTTAAAGGCAATTATTATCATTGTTCCTTTATTTTTCTTTAATTCAAGGTAAATATTAGTATATAAGAGTTCATCTTTCTTTATAAATAACTTTCAAATCCCTCACTTTCTCTGCAGACACTTATTTGTCAAAATTTCTTTTAGGATTTGGTACCCATAACAAATGCAATAGTAAAACTGGTGTTTCATCTTTGTCCATGATGATGACATCATATTTCAAATATTTTGAATTTTTTTCTATTAACAAGGCTAAAACTATGTTAGAAAGCATATCATAAACTCATGTTGAATTTTAGGTCAGGTAAAACCTCTAAAATCTTCTTCACACTAACTATAAATGTTCCATTCTTATTCAACCTGTAGTAATCACTCAGATATTTTTATATAAAAATACAATTTTTAATTTACTCCCATTTACTTTTATCTTGTAATTTTTATCAACATTTATATCAGAACAGATATGTGATAGCAAAAAAATATTACTCAGAACTATGATTTAGAGCACAAGCTTAAGATTTTTCTTATATATTACATGTAATTATAATAATAGCTACTATTTGTTGGGTATCAGATGTTTTACCAGTTTTTTTATATTCATTATATCCTCAATAATTATTTTTACTGATACGTAATAGTTGCATATATTTTGGGGGTACAGGTGATATTTTGATACATGCATAAAATATGTAATAATCAAATAAGGGTAATGGGGACATTCATTACTTCAGACACTGAGATATACTCGATACTTTCTAATACTAGATCTTATGCCTTCTATCTAACTATATTTTTGCACTCATTTACCAACCTATCTTCATCCTCATTATGCATTTTTAAAATAAAAATACTTGATATTATTTTTATTTTGTAGATACGAAAACTGAAAGTCAGAATTTAAGTGACTTCTTCAGTTTTTAATGTGTGTGGACTCCACTTTAAAAGAACTCATAAAAGTGCCTTGGTGTACCAATTATGTCAATAATGCAGTATGTTAGGCATTAGCTAAATTATCCAATAATCAGTATAATATGAGCTTTAGAAGGCAAATTGTTTTTGTTTTGGAGGATGCTTAGAATAATCAAAGAAACACTGATGTTGCTTGCCTAAATTTCTGAATTGTGTATGTTGATGCCTACTTCCTACATCAAGCTTAATTCACTTTTCCTCAGGCATACACTGAGCCCACTTAGAGAATGCAGAGTGGTTGTCTTTGAGAATTACACTGGGAAAGAATAATGTCCTTTCATCTAGTGTAATCTATACTTCAAGAACTGGAGCATCATAGAAAAAGGGTTTTAAATCAAGTGGTTCTTGTCACGTCTGCTGAAGGTCTGGTCAACAGCAGAGTTGATGTCAAATGGCTGAGACTATAACCTAAATCACACTACAGCTGCAGTGTCCTCCAAGTGGAACTGGTAAACTGCACACCTCCTAGGAGAAGCATATCACATATTTTTGCTCATTGAAAACTGATTTCCCTGCCTCACGTGAAACACACTTTACACAAAGACCAAGGCAAACATCCCACGCTCAATTAAAAATGGTAAGATTAACATTTTATAGAATAGTCTTTAGTTGAATAATACATTTACATCCTCAAAGCATAATCTCTACCTGAAATTTAATTATAAAAGGCAACATATTGAAGAGCAAATGAATTACTTTCTAACTAGATTTTGAGGATGTATAGTTATTTTTAACATTTTGAAAAGTTGGAAGAAGAGAAGAAGGAGGAGAGGAAGCACTAGGAGAGTAACCTTGTGTGTTTCCTTTATACCATTTTATGAGAGAGAGAAATTACCTTTGATTTCATAACATAGTCAGAAAAGAAAACTAAAATAGAGGTGAACTTGTCAATCATTTTACCTCTGGGCATTAAAATTAGTATGAATATTTTGTTTGAATATTACCAGTATGAATGCAATTGATTCCAGTACTAGTTATTCTAATAAAAAGTGTGTCAGACTCAATCTCTCTGAACAACAAGAATATAAGGATCAATATTTCTTATTTTTTGTTCATTATTTTAATGATTCCACTTGAATTTTGAATAAACTTTAAAAATTCTCTAGTACTTACTTTTTCTTTTAAAAGAAAAAGAGCTGGTTTTCAGAGATTATTTTATTAGACACCTGGTCTGGGTAGTATAAATCTACAAAGAGAGAGATTACTTCTTAAAAATAACAATTCTCTTAACCCTCTGTAGCACTCATAATTTTACTACCAAAACATCTTCCTTTTCCTCAAGATTATTTATCTTGTGATAGTTATGTTTTGGTTGTCTGTTACTGCATAGATAAATCACAATTATTATGGTATGAAATGGGATCAGGCAGAGAAAGTTTATTTCTTTTCAAGATAGTATCAGCAGGGGCCACTCCACTGGGAACTGGAGGATCCACCTCTAAGTTGATTTACTCACATGGGGTGCAATTTGGTGCTGTCTATTGTTCACGAGCTCAACTCAGGCTGAGAGCAGGGGCTGCTTGGTTCCTTTCCACATGGGCCTCACTATATGGGCACCTCCACAGGGTGCATCCTCATGGATTGATGCCTGGGTTACAGGAGCAAGTACTCCAAGCAACAGGAAGTGGCAGCTGCCAGTTTCTTAAGGCTTTGGCCCCAAAACTAGCAAAACATCAATTCCACTATATTCTATTGCTCAAATAGTCACAGAAATAAAATTTAATGGGATGTTATATAGGCCCCAGTTTTTGATGGGAGGAGTGTCAGAGAATTTCTAGGTCAGGTTTTAAAATGACCAAAATTTATTTACATTTCTTCCACATGCATGATGTACTCACTTCCTCCCAAGACATCCCCAAAGTCTCGTGTTGCTAAAGCAACAAGTTAAGGCTTCATCATCTCAATGAAGGCAGGTACAGATGACAATACTTGAGTTCATTTCTTTGGGTGCAGCTCCTCAAGGCCCCTTCTTGATTCGAAGACCTGTGAACTACAGAGACAAATTATCTGCACCCTCTATCCCCATATGCAACATACAATGCTACGACAGTATTGTATAACTTCAATAGGCATTCTAATTTAAAAAGTGGAAAGCAAAAGGCACACATGAGTCACTGGTCTGTAGTAATTCTGAAATCCAACTAATCATAATCTTAATTCTTGTTGAGATCTAGTACTGCTTCCTGAAAATGATTCCCCACATCTTGGCTCTCTCCTCTGGAGTCTTGGTTTCATCCTCTTATTATTCTATTTTTCTTTTTCTATGAAATATAGCCTGTATTTGAAGCTGAGTATCGTTTAAAGAAGAGAGATGTCCTTAGGATACTTAGAAATTCAAAGAAGGGCCATTGTTTAATTGAGAGGTATACTCAAAGGATGCTATCTGACTGAAAGTCTCCATGAGGCATCATTTTAGTTCTATCTGCGGTTTTAGCAAAGGATTTTATTGTCTCACCATGGATTTTATCTTTGGCTTGAGACACTTTCTTACTTTGAGAATATTCTGTCATCTGAATAGTCTTTGAATGTGAAAGTTTTATTTTTGAGCCTAGTGATCTCTGTCTTTGTATTTAACAAGATATTATTTAACTTAGCTCTCTTCTCCCACATTTTATCATAGACAGCAGGAAAAATCCAGGAGGCAGTTGCAATATTCTGCTTGGTAATCTTTTCATAAGTATGTAAATTCCTGTACTGCACATTACTGCAGGTGGCAGTTTTGCTAAATTTCTGCCACTACATAACAAGAACCTATTTTCTTCTAGTTTAGATATTTCCTTGATTTTCTTTCTTTTTTTTCTATTATACTTTAAGTTCTAGGATACATGTGTACAAAGTGCAGGTTTGTTACATATGTATACATGTGCCATGTTGGTGTGCTGCACCCATTAACTCGTCATTTACATTTCGTATATCTCCTAATGCTCTCCCTCCCCACCTTCCCCCACCCCACAACAGGCCCTGGTGTGTGATGTTCCCCTTCCCGTGTCCATGAGTGAGACAATTCCCCACCTATGAGTGAGAACATGCTGTGTTTGGTGTTTTGTTCTTGTGATAGTTTGCTGAGAATGGTGGTTTCCAGCTTCATCCATGTCCCTACAAAGGACATGAACTCATCCTTTTTTATGGCTGCATAGTATTCCATGATGTATATGTGCCACATTTTCTTAATCCAGTCTATCATTGATGGACATTTAGGTTGGTTCCAAGTCTTTGCTATTGTGAATAGTGCCGCAATAAACATACGTGTGCATGTGCCTTTATAGCAGCATGATTTATAGTCCTTTGGGTATATACCCAGTAATGGGATGGCTGGGTCAAATGATATTTCTAGTTCTAGATCCTTGAGGAATCGCCACACCGTTTTCCACAATGGTTGAACTAATTTACAGTCCCACCAACAGTGTAAAAGTGTTCCTATTTCTCCACATCCTCTATAGCCCCTGTTGTTTCCTGACTTTTTAAAGATCACCATTCTAACTGGTGTGAGATGGTATCTCATTGTGGTTTTGATTTGCATTTCTCTGATGGCCAGTGATGATGAGCATTTTTTCATGTGTCTCTTGGCTGCATAAATGTCTTCTTTTGGGAAGTGTGTGTTCATATCCTTCGCCCATTTCTTGATGTTTTTTTTTTTCTTGTAAATTTGTTTAATTTCTTTGTAGATTCTGGAGAGACTTAGACTCCCACACAATAATAATGGGAGACTTTAACACCCCACTGTTAACATTAGACAGATCAACGAGACAGAAAGTTAACAAGGATATCCAGGAATTGAACTCAGCTCTGCACCAAGCAGAGCTAATAGACATCTACAGAACTCTCCACCCCAAATCAACAGAATATACATTCTTTTCAGCACCACTTCGAACTTATTCCAATATTGACCACATAGTTGGAAGTAAAGCACTCCTCAGCAAATGTAAAAGAACAGAAATTATAACAAACTGTCTCTCAGACCACAGTGCAATCAAACTAGAACTCAGGATTAAGAAACTCACTCAAAACCGCTCAACTACATGGAAACTGAACAACGTGCTCCTGAATGACTACTGGGTACATAACGAATAAAGGCAGAAATAAAGATGTTCTTTGAAACCAATGAGAACAAAGACACAACATACCAGAATCTCTGGGACACATTTAAAGCAGTGTGTAGAGGGAAATTTATAGCACTAAATGCCCACAAGAGAAAGCAGGAAAGATCTAAAATTGACACCCTAACATCACAATTAAAGAACCAGAGAAGCAAGAGCAAACACATTCAAAAGCTAGCAGAAGGCAAGAAATAACTAAGATCAGAGCAGAACTGAAGGTGATAGAGATACAAAAAACCCTTCAAAAAAATCATTGAATCCAGGAGCTGGTTTTTTGAAAAGATCAACAAAATTGATAGACTGCTAGCCAAATTATGTGTTAGAAGGCCTTAGAAGGCCAAATTTAAGTGTTGTTATATTGAAGGAAATGATGATTACTATAAACACAAAATGTTAATAGTATTCTTTCTTTTCAGGATTTGAAGAAATCACAGGCCTCTTTTTAGCTGTTTTTTTTTTCATCCTTTCTGTATTTGGAGCAAATTATTGAATATTTGAATTTATTTGCCACCATACAGAATCATAACATTATATAAAATTCAAAACAATTATAAATGAGGCAGGGATGATTTCAAGAAAACAGCTTAAAAAGTAGGTTGAACTGTGTGTTTTCACCTAACAGCCTACAACATACCTGCTTGGCTGTTAATAGATGCCAGTATGCATTCTTGATCAAAAAATGATAAAAAATGATCACTTTCTTGACTTGCTTACCTTCAATACTCTGATGATGCTTTAGTAGAACTGTACTACCCTGACTTTATCTTAAAAGGTAAGTAGTCAGCTGGGTGCAGTGGCTCACACTTGTAATCCCAGCAATTTGGGAGGCTGAGGTGGGTGGATCACCTGAGGTCAGGAGTTTGAGACTAGCCTGGCCAACATGGTGAAACCCCATTTCTACTAAAAATACAAAAATTAGCAGGGTGTGGTGGCATGTGCCTGTAATCCCAGCTACCCAGGAGGCTGAGGCAGGAGAATCGCTAGAACCCAGGAGCCAGTGGCTGCAGTGACCTGAGATTGCACCACTGCACTCCAGCCTAGGCGACAGAGCAAGACTCTGTTTCAAAAATGAAAAAATGGTTAGTAGTCAAAGTTTTTGTCTATAATCAAAAACGTGTTCTTTTTGGTATTAACTGAACTCATGCTTTGTTTCTTTCTTTAACTTAATGATTTTTCTGAAGGAAATCACTGTAACAACTTGTGTCTTCAGTAATAGTTAAACAATAGTGCATGCATGTTGGTTAAAATATGTCTACATACCTCTGAATTGTTCAGAGCAACCCACAGCAATGTGACACAGTGGCTGAAGAATCACTGCCTAGAAAATATTTCAACAAATGCCAAAATATCAGGGAAAAATTTTCCATTCCACTAGATCAAATATTTTCCAAGTACAGACTGAATAGAATTACTTTCTCAAATGTAGAAATTCCTCTTTAGCCTTTATAGAGTCTGTTGTCCATCACTTCACTACATTTGCCAACATCTTAAGCTCCATTGTCCTTACAGACCTATTAAAACATCAATTCCCAGAAGGGACCACTTATAGACATTTTCCATGCTCACAGCCAGGCTGGATGAAACAGACATTTTTAAGTAGTCACTTCTGATGCTTTTTAAAGTTGTAAGTCAAGGACCTCTCCTAGCATCGTCATCTAGACATTGCCATCTGGACTGACCTTGCAGTCATGATTCTGGTAGCCACAAATGAAGTAAATACATCACTTGTAGAATTGCCTTTTAGCAAGGCATATTTCTTCTAGTGTGTTATTTATTCTGTTTCTCACAATATGACATGGTATATCATTTGAAAATTGATTATATGATAAAATCCACTTAGATTCTCTCCCCACCACCCCCAATCACATAGCCACATTATTTTAAGATTTTCTGGTAATTCTAATAAATGGTTAAATTTGTGGTAGGTAACATCCTTAGGTTAATGTGAAATAAAGAATAAATAAATGATATAAGAATTCAAATATATAAAGATGATCCCAACTTGAAAAACTGAAATGTACAAACAATAATTTCAATTTTCTTAAGTTGGGGTCATCTTTATATACTTGAGTTCTTATTTTATTTATTTATTTAGTTATCTATCTATTTATTTATTTTTGTCCTTTGAGAGTTCACATTATCTCCTATTCGTACTTTGTATTTGCTTTAGTGTTCACTCTGCTATGTGTCATGAAAATGTAATATATTTTTAACACAACTTTCAGCTTGAAAAATGCTTTGGTTACAGGGTCTCTGTTTGTCTGTTATTGGTGTATAAGAATGCTTGTGATTTTTGCACATTGATTTTGTATCCTGAGACTTTGCTGAAGTTGCTTATCAGCTTAAGGAGATTTTGGGCTGAGACAATGGGGTTCTCTAGATATACAATCATGTCGTCTGCAAACAGGGACAATTTGACTTCCTCTTTTCCTACTTGAATACCGTTTATTTCCTTCTCCTGCCTAATTTCCCTGGCCAGAACTTCCAACACTATGTTGAGTAGGAGTGGTGAGAGAGGGCATCCCTGTCTTGTGCCAGTTTTCAAAGGGAATGCTTCCAGTTTTTGCCCATTCAGTATGATATTGGCTGTGGGTTTGTCATAGATAGCTCTTATTATTTTGAGATATGTCCCATCAATACCTAATTTATTGAGAGTTTTTAGCATGAAGGGTTGTTGAATTTTGTCAAAGGCCTTTTCTGCATCTATTGAGATAATCATGTAGTTTTTGTCTTTGGTTCTGTTTATATGCTGGATTACATTTATTGATTTGCGTATATTGAACCAGCCTTGCATCCCAGGGATGAAGCCCACTTGATCATGGTGGATAGAAAATTTTCTCAACCTACTCATCTGACAAAGGGCTAATATCCAGAATCTACAATGAACTCAAACAAATTTACAAGAAAAAAACAAACAACCCCATCAAAAAGTGGGCAAAGGATATGAATGGACACTTCTCAAAAGAAGACATTTATGCAGCCAAAAGACACATGAAAAAATGCTCATCATCACTGGCCATCAGAGAAATGCAAATCAAAACCACAATGAGATACCATCTCACACCAGTTAGAATGGGGATCATTAAAAAGTCAGGAAACAACAGGTGCTGGAGAGGATGTGGAGAAATAGGAACACTTTTACATTGTTGTTGGGACTGTAAACTAGTTCAACCATTGTGGAAGTCAGTGTGGCCATTCCTCAGGGATCTAGAACTAGAAATACCATTTGACCCAGCCATCCCATTACTGGGTATATACCCAAAGGACTATAAATCATGCTTCTATAAAGACACATGCACACGTATGTTTATTGTGGCACTATCATCATTCTCAGTAAACTATCACAAGGACAAAAAACCAAACACCACATGTTCTCACTCACAGATGGGAATTGAACAATGAGAACACATGGACACAGGAAGGGAACATCACACTCTGGGGACTGTTGTGGGGTGGGGGGAGGGGGGAGGGATAGCATTAGGAGATATACCTAATGCTAAATGAGGAGTTAATGGGTGCAGCACACCAGCATGGCACATGTATACATATGTAACTAACCTGCGCATTGTGCACATGTATCCTAAAACTTAAAGTATAATAATAATAAAAAAAGAAAAAAAAATCAAAGAAAATCTAAAAAAAAAAAAAAAAACACAAAGAAGATTGAAGCATGCACATCTAATGCTCCAGCCTTTTGAGGGACTGTCTAAGGGGTTGTTTTCTGTCTAGTCTAACTTGGGGTGTTGGTGTGTGTATTTGTGTGTGTATGCATATCTATGCAAAATCCCACCTTACTTAATGTTTTTTTAAATCTAGAAAGCACTCAACCAATTAGCAAAGGAGCTAGTAACAATGTTGATTCAAAGCAAATATTAAGAAAGCTATCATTTTGTTATAGGATTCTCAGCACATGTTAGTCAGTCATAATTTTAAGTATAATTCATGGATATTTAGATTAGACTCATCTTAGACATGGAAAGGCCATGGGTGTCTGCTTGTTTTGTACTGCTTCAAAGCAAGAGAAAAGAGAAACAGAATTAGCCCAATTGTAAGAAGTATCTTGGCCAATTAAAACAGAATAATCAGAATGAATTATTTGTGAAGCTATTTAACAAATAATAAAACACCTCCTTTACTTACTTTAAAAAAAAAAGAAAAAGAAAAATGTTTTGGTTACAGGGAATGCAAAAATTATTTTTCTAAAAATATAATACTTGCTTTTTCACTTTCACACTTTCATAATCTTTCAATCCATGAGGTCATCAATTAGGTGCCAAGGCACTTCTCAATGAAATTATTAACATTAAAATTTGTGTTATATACATGAATTTTCTAAAAGTGACATTTTTGGTCATTGGTGATAGTACTTAATTATTAGAGACAACACTAGAAATAATTTTAATGGGGAGAAATGACTCAACTTTTTTGCTCCAACGGATATATTTATTTCATTTAACAAACACTAATCTATATCTTATTATATGCTAGGCCTTATTTCAATACTTTATAAATGTTAATTTATTAATCTTCATAGCAATCCCGTGAAGTTGACGCTACTTATTATACCCAGTTTGCAGACGAGAACACTGAATAACAAAGTTTAAATAACTTGCCCAAGGTTCATACAAGTAATAAGCACTGCAACTTGATTCACATGCATGCTCTTCCCCGGTACTAACAATATACTTTGCCTTTTACTCTATAAATTATTTTTATGGCCAGTAATTCTCATTGACTCTGTCTGTTATATACCTGTAAAATATAAATTTGTGTAATGAATCATGAATATGCAATATGAGTATAAATTCAATATTAAACATGCAGCATGTCATTTTTAAATTTTATCACATACAAGGTAGCATGTTTTCTAATATTTCATGTGTAGAAAAACTCTAGGAATATTAAAGTCGAAGTTAAATTTTCAGTTAAATGAGATCTTCTGTCTTGTATATTCTTCCACCCTGTATGAAGATGGGTAGTGGCTTAGAGATTCAGTTCTCTTGATCTCTTTCATTCACTGAAAGAAAAGTTAACAATGAATCATTCAGTAAGCAAGCTTGCATTCACTTTTCAGAACAGGATTTTTCGATCGGACTTTAGGCATGTGTGAGAGGAAGAAACGTCTTCCAATAACTTATTGTAAATGTTTCTGACAAACTCCTATTTTATTAAAATCAGAAAATTTCTTCAGTGAAATTGTAATTTCATCTGAGTAGATGTAACCGTGCTGTCTTATCTTTCCTGAAAACAAACAAACAAACAAACAAACTCTTTTCTTGGAAAACTGTTGATAAATAACTCTTTATAAAAGAAAAACACATTATCAAGCTGATCTTATACTGAAAAAATTTTGTGGCTTTATAATGTGTCTTTCTCTATGTTTTAAAAAGTATCATTTTTGAAAAGTAATTTTGAAGAGTTTCAGTGCTGAACCAAAATCAATTTTGCGTTTGATTAATGTGACTACAACAAAACTCAACCCGGCCAATAGAAATGCATGCCATAAATAAACCATGGCCACATTATCATTTTCATTATAAGTCAGATGAAATATTGTTTTAAGGTGAGATACATTACTGACAGCAATGAAAAACAAGACATCAGAAATTCCATTTAAGTGCAGGTGGCAGTGTTATTTACTGCCATCCACTCATGTTACCGCCAGGCTCTTTAAATTTACACAGAGGGAATATATCCTCCCAGCTCGTGACAGCTGGAGTGGAAATCACACTGGTGGAAATACATTCTCATAAATGGCTAAAGAAGACTTGCTTTTCTTCTTCTGCTCAAATTGTGTACAATTAGAAAGGCAGAGAACACCAATGACTCTGATAGAATAAAAATTTACAAATTCCAAATGAATGCTCTGTTTCAATTTTTGCTTTCCAAATCAAATTTTACTTCTCTCCTCATCTTCTTTCTAATGTTAAAGTTAAAAACAACCACCACCACCAACACTACCACAACAGCAAAACTGACCCAAATGAAATTGTCCTTCATCACTTTACCTTATATTTTTCTAATATTTATCCATTATTTTTCTTAATCGAAACTTAAATTTGTTTTTCCCCATTTTATGAAGCTTAGTCCCCTCATTTTTTTTTGCTTCACTAAGTAGCCTTTCTTTAATAATTTGTTAGTAATACTTCATGATGCTAGATTACTTCCAGAGCACTTCACAAAGACAAGGTGGCCTACGGAGAAGAATCATGGGGCTTTTCTAAACAATTTCTTGAATAAAAGATAGCAAAAGACTTTTGTACACAAAGATGCTATAATTTGATCTGCTATTCATATTTGTTTTAAAGTAGGGGCCCAGGCAGTATTAAGACATATTATTTCCATTCAAGCTATAAACACTCCATAGAGATATGGAATCAAAGCATAAGAAAGTAAATCCTCTGCAAGGAGTGCAACTGTACAATCTGTTGCTCTAAGGTGGATGCTGGAAATGTGTATCACTGTGGAGCATCAGGGAGAGTTGATGATTAATTGGCAGAATAATCTGAAACTTGGGGTGCCTAAGATCTCACAATGACCAAGGTGAAAATCTGACCTGCAGGGGCAGAAGGGGCATTTGAACTTTCTGGGGCTGAACATTCTCACCTGTGCAACTATATTGGATTAGAGCAGTGTTTCTCAAACTTTTGGGTGGCATGAAAATCACCAGGATGACTTATTAAAATAGGTTGTTAGTTCCACCCCCAAAGTTTCTGATTCAGTAGGTCCGGAAGGGGCCTGACAATTTGTATTTTTAAACAGTTCCCTGGTGGTACTGATGCTGCTAGGCCAGAAACAACCATTGAGAAGCACTGGATTAGTTATTTTTCCAGAGTATTATTCAATGGACCCCCTTTCAAAGATCCTCTGGGAAAACAAACAAACAAACCAAGGGAAATATAAATTTTATGTGATTATAAAATCTATTAAATTATGAATAAAAATGATTTTTTGCACAATTTCAGTTTAATTGATATGCTAATATACTTGTGAAGCTTTAATCTTAAAATGGGATATATAATATACAGTGGTTTTCAAACCTTTTTGACCACCAAATTTTTTCTGAGGGGTCTCTAATTTACATTTTCCAGGTCTAACATTGTATGTAACACACTTGGCAGTATCCTTAAAAAGATGGTTTTAAGGTCATTTTTAGCTTTTACCACCTATGAGATTCAGAATTTTGGGAGGCCGTGGTGGGCAGATCACCTGAGGTCAGGAGTTCAAGACCAGCCTGGCCAACATGGTGAAACCCCACCTCTACTAAAAATACAAAATTAGCGGGGTGTGGTGGCACACACCTGTAATCCCAGCTACTTGGGAGGCTGAGGCAGGAGAATCACTTGAACCCAGGAGGTGGAGGTTTCATTGAGCTGAGAGAGTGCCATTGCACTCCAGCCTATACAAAAAGAGTGAAATTCCATCTCAAAAAAAAAAAAAAAGATTCAGAATTTCTCCATAGTCTCTAAGGATTTCTGATAGCCATTATGAGGTTAAGCAGGAAATTACAAACTCTCTCATGGGAGTTGAGAGAGAATCCCCTGATTCTGTTACTTCAATGAGTACTAATCGCTGACTGATAGACAGGTACAGTCTGTCCATCTCATGGAGTAATTATGGTGAGACTGAAGATACATTTCAAATTTCTTTGGCTCTTGACAAATGTTCAAATCTTCTCGCTCCCCACTCCTTAACCTGAACCTTCTGCTGCAGCCAAATTTAAACTGATGTTCTCTGAACATCCCATACTCATAAATCTTGTCCACCTTTGTGTATGCTTCTTCCTTTTCCTGTGCCTCCAGTCTTCTTCCTCCTACCTGCTTTACCTTCCTGACGACTCTATATTACTTTAATCCTTGCTCCTGTAAGGGTTGTCTATTCTCCGAAGCTTTCCCTAATCAAATCTCTTTTGCTTTTCACTGCAATACATCATACTGTAAATATTTGTCTGTCTGTCTCCTGGAGCTCTTTAAGGGCAATGAAAGTGTCCTGTCACTCCATGTTCTTTTCTGCTAGCACACCACCCCACTCAGTAACAGATGAATTATGCTACGCATTTTCAGTGATGTAGCCTGTTTCCAATTCATTGCTATTGAAACAGAAATCTTGAGAATTTATTCAAACTGGCCTGAATTTATTTACTAGTTGTAGCCAGCTGAATAATGGCCCCACAAAGATGTCAACATCCAAATCTCCAGAACCTTGTGACTATGTTACTGTATGCAGTAAAAAGGACCTTGAAGATGTGACTATATTTAGGATCTTGAGATGAGGA
This sequence comes from Homo sapiens, assembly GCF_000001405.40. Taxonomy (NCBI): domain Eukaryota; kingdom Metazoa; phylum Chordata; class Mammalia; order Primates; family Hominidae; genus Homo; species Homo sapiens. The sequence continues at coordinate 120,841,650 of NC_000006.12, read as the reverse complement.
GTGTATTAGTCAGGGTTCTCTAGAGGGACAGAACTAATAGGATAGATGTACATATTAAAGGGAGTTTATTAAAGAGAATTGACTCACACAGTCACAAGGTAAAGTCCCACGATAGGCCGTCTGCAAGTTGAGCAGCAAGGAAGACAGTGGTGGATCAGTTCGAGTCCCAAAACCTCAAAAGTAGGGAAGCAACAGTGCAGCCTTCAGTCTGTGGCAAGCAAACCACTGGGGTAAGTCCGAAAGTCCAACAGCTGAAGAACTTGAAGTCTGATGTTCAAGAGCAGGAGGCATCCAGCATGCTAGAAAGGTGAAGGATGAAAGGCTCAGCAAGTCTGCTCTTCCATCTTTTCCTGCCTGCTTTATTCTAGCCACTCTGGCAGCTGATTAGGTGGTGCCCACCCAGATTGAGGGTGAGCCTGTCTCTCCCAGTCCACTGACTCAAATGTTAATCTCCTTTGGCAGTACCCTCACAGACATACCCAGGAACAATACTTTGCATTCTTCAATCCAATCAAGTTGATACTCGATATTAACCATCACAGGGAGATTAGCCTGTATTATCCGGATAGGCCCAATGTAATCACAATGGTTATTAGAGGAAAGGAGAGGGACTATTTGACTACAAACACGAAGTGTCAGAGTGGTGCAGTATGAGAAAGACTTGACCAATCATGACTAACTTTGAAAGTGAAGGAAGGGGTCATGAGCCAAGAAATGTAAGTATCCTCTAAAACCTGGAAAATGCAAAACAAACAAACAAACAAACAAACAAAACAGATTCCCTCTCAATCTCTCTCAAAGTCTCCTTTAGAGAGGTAGATGACAAGGTGATGCCTCAAGTCATGTCCAATTGGAGGTGCTATGGTTTCATGTCATTCTCAGAACTGTGAGACAACTTTTAAGGCAATTATTTCCTTTTTCATTGTGGTCTATCTAAAAAAACCACACTTCTTTCAGTACTTCCTATTAAAAACGTGATATGGCTGCGCGCGGTGGCTCACGCCTGTAATCCCAGCACTTTGGGAGGCCGAGGCGGGTGGATCACGATGTCAGGAGATCGAGACCATCCTGGCTAACACGGTGAAACCCCGTCTCTACTAAAAATACAAAAAATTAGCCAGGCATGATGGCAGGCGCCTGTAGTCCCAGCTACTCGGGAGGCTGAGGCAGGAGAATGCTTGAACACGGGAGGCGGAGCTTGCAGTGAGCAGAGATAGTGCCATTGCACTCCAGCCTGGGCGACAGAGCGAGACTCCGTCTCAAAACAAAAACAAAAACAAACAAACAACAACAACAACAAAAACGTGATATGCAGCTATATGTATGCCGTATGCACATACAGGAATTTGTTTTAGGGATTTTCACATAATGCAGTTTTGATAAGCTTAAATTATACATGGTTACAGCACTGACTTGTTTAGAACATAATCTTGCCATTTTTCTTGAGTGACCTATCTAAACAAATTTCACTACTCTTAAAAACATAAATTTTGTGATGAACCATGATAATATTTATTGTTAAAAATATGTATTTAAAGAAAAAACAAATATTTTTAAGTGACTAAAGAAATACGATTGAAAGCATTAAAATGAAATCCTCATGTAGCACAGTATCTGGAACATAACAGGCATTCAAATAAGTTATTAATTAAATAAATTTATGCAAAATATTAGTCAAAGTGAAAATGACTCCTTTTTCCTTCTCCAGTTGGTATGCATACCCACAGTTGGCACATGTGGTATGTTTGTGCTACCAGAATGGGCTGTTCTATACATTATATTCTGCAACATAGTTTTTTTTTAAATGTTTTTTGGTTTGTTGTCTATTTGTGGTTTTGGTTATTGTTAATGCTATTGCAGAAACTTTCTTTTGATTAGATATTGAGGTCTACTTTTTTGAGGCATTGCTTCATGGTCTCTGGTATTGATATGCCATTATTTAACCAATCTCATACTGATCAATGTTTGACACCACTTTTATTGCTAATATAAATAATGTTAGTACAAAATGCCCTAATGTATCTTTATTTGCTTGTGATAATATTCATAGACTAGATTTCTTGAACTGAAATTCCTGATTCAAATATATTCATACTTAAAAATGTTGACAGCTAATGTCAAAATGCCTTATGAAAGTTGCAACAATTTACATTAACACCAAATTTATGAGTTTCTTCTTTTCTACATTCTCACTGATTCTGGGTGTGAAAAATTATTAAAGTGTTCCAATCAGATAAAATTCCTGAACCAGTGAGTGTTTTCTACATTTCCTAGATCCATGCAAGATAATATAGAGGATACTGAAGAGGTAGAAGGTATAGTACTTACTTTCACACTCTTACTCTCACTAGGGAAAGAATCCATACATGTAACACTGTTTAAGTATAAAACAATGTATATATATATATAATATTATAACTGAGGGTAAAGCTATAGGACTGAAATATTGAGTACTTTCAGAATCCAGTAGGCAAAGCAATCAATATGGCTGAATTTGTTTAGTAAGAGGTCATAGTCATCATGATAAGAAGTAAGCTGGGTCTAAGATAGGTAGAGAAGGAGACATTAAACATTTTAGAGCCATGTCTGATGGTAGGAATGAACGAATTTGTGTTGCCAACATACTGTATATATACCCAGAATTTTACTTCTGTTGCTACAGAAATGCTATCATTTGTCAATTAATTTCTGTGATGATGCTAAAGGAGAAGCTTTTCTAGTAACTTAAACCTGGGTTTCAAAACTTTAGTATTTACATTTGGGGGGCTGATGTTGCATTAATTCATATGAATACAAGAGGGAAGCCAGAGGCCTTGGAGGCTGCCACTAGCTATAAATGAAATCTTAGGTGACAGGAAGTCAATACAAGTCTGTCACATTTTAGCCCCAAGCCATGCTTGCTGCAGCATCTCAGAAGCAGCTGTAACATTTCTGTTCTGATGAGTACCTGAAAGCAAACAACAATAAGAAAGCCCAAGAACAACCAACATGTGGAGAAACATAACCACAGGCAGCTACTGAATGCAAACTGTATCTGGAATAAGAATTTGGAGATTATATCTGGGAGTCACTAGTTCTGAGGGAAAGCTCAAAGCAAAATGCATAAAAACTCTAAGGGAAAGCCTGGTGTGAAGTGCCCAGAAAGAAAAGCATAAAGGGTTCTTTCCCCTCAGGCACCAAACAAATCCTCACAGGAATTGGCCTATATTATAAAGAAGACAGGTGACCTGAACTCCAAGAAAAAACACACATGAAAAATAATTGCAACTTCCATAACCAAATTATACATCTTACAAACAACTGTTCCTATTGAAAAAAGGGAGACCTTCAGGCTGGTGATTGAATAGATTTAAAACATGGTTATCAATGAACAGTTCTACATATTTGGTTTATATACAAAATATATATATAGCATGCATGTATATAGATATGGATATGGTATATACTATATCCACTGATACTTTTTCTAATGATATGTGTGTATATTTGCTGGGGCCATGGTTAATTAGTAGCTGCTCAAGCCCAGCCTATGAAATCTGTGTGCTTCCTTGAGGAATATAGAACTACTTTCCTTCAAGAGTCCTCCATTATTTCCCTGTTCCTATGGCATTAATAGCCCAAACATAAGAATAGCCCTGGAATACTCTGCAAACCCCCTAGAAATCCTTGGTTGAATGATTTGTTTTTAATTTCATGATTCTACTAAAGCTGTCAAAGGGTAGCACAATTCACTGTGTTTTCATTGAAGATCTTGTATGTTGGGGATACATCTTACTTCAGAAAACACTATCAGAGAAAACATGGTATCTGCTATGACACTAGATGCAATCACACTGAGCTAAACCTGACCCAGTTGTAAAGGAATAAAAAGACTGAAGGCAAGCTGCAATTCAGTGCCAATAACACATGGTTCTCTGTGATTACTTGAGGTATGTCAGAAAAGAGTGGGAAAATCATGAATGACAGACACATACCTGACTTTGAGCTCTGAAAGCTAAGAGTCTTGTGAGTAGTTAAGTTTAACTAGTATCATTCCAAAATTCTGAACCATTAGTATTGTAAAGATTATTACATCTTTTATTTTTAGCACAGATGAGAAACCTAATGACAGAGGATTGGAAGAACATGCCCAAAAAGAATATGGCACTTCAGGGTCAGAACAAGGTCATGTACCCAGGTTTCTTGATGTCTAGTTCCACCCAAATGTCCTAGCTAATATACCCTAACCCCGATTACAGCTTTTGCTGTGTTTCTTGTGACATCATAATGCAGCAGAAAAAGAAGAAATCTCTACTTAACTGGCAGTCGGAGAATAGGCTGCATCTGCCTTCTGGGTTCTTGTCCTGTTCTGCCACTTACTGTATGTTGTTGAGTAGGAGACACCTGCCCAATGCATCCCATCTGTAAGTTTGGGATAATAATAATTCTAGTTCATAGTCTTGTTAGGAGGATACAGTGAAAAAATGTATAACTAAAGAACTTGGAATAACACCTAACATGGATAAATTGCTTAATGAGCTATCATTTATTATTCTTACCATTCCAGTTTTCTAGCCACTAAGCTTCATCAACCACAGGATTGTGAATATAAATGAGAAGCCTTAATCTAAAACAGTGATTTTCTTCCAAAACTTATGACAAAGTTTACTTCTTATTCAGATTAGAAAACAGAGCTCTGCAATTTTAGAATTGCAGATAACCTTTTACTGACTGTAAATCATCTAGGAGAAGATGGTTTGGCCAGCTCCCAACCTTAACAAACCTTTTTCAGTTAAAGACTCATTTTTCCTTTTGTGATTTTGCAGGGTCAGCTGTATAATTTACATTTTTTCCTTCTTTATTTCAAAATGTAGGGGTCTATCTTATTTTATGCCATAAAACCAGAAATGTTACACAAAAATAAGATATGGCTGCTTTTAGCATTCTCCTAATCTTGCTCTTTTCCTAAAAAAAACACCATCTGTTGGAAAGCAGATATTTTTATTTATGCTTTAATGCGTTACCCAAGGAAATAGGAAATCCTTGTCTGCCCTTAAATTTTTCTTTATTAACAAATGCAAACCAACCACTTTGCACCCATTTCTTTCCATAATTACTTACAGGGACTAAACCCTGCCAAATAATTTGGATAGACTTTATTCCCTTTTGGTGCCCCCCATCCCTAATGATCAAGGGACTTTCCTGTCCTTCTACAGGTATCCTCTGAGATTCACCCTACTCAGCCTCAGCCATCCTCTCTGTTCCTTTCCTTTGGGCTCAGACAGTCTTTTTTTCTGTTGCTCTAGTAAAGTCATCATTCTTCATTGATGAAAATACATTAACCTATTAGGGCTTTGTTTTGAAGTTGCATCCAGGAGCCCTGTGGCAGCTCAGTGAGGTAGACAGTCCTTGGCAAGTGAGTCTTTAGATTCCTTTCAGGTCACATTTTACACAGTTGCACCATTCCTATCTTCTCCATTCCTTTCTAGTACCATCTCTAACTTATACTAAACTGTGAAGCTATTGGTAATGTGTTGTATCTTTTAGCCTTCAATATCCTTTTTGATAAAGTATGATAAGATGTCCATGTCATCTTAGATAATTAGTAAGTAATCATAAGACTTATTTGTCTTTGTGATCTCCTACCTTCCTTCTTAAAGCAAGTACAGTTTCACATTTGTGCTAAGTTTCATGCATGGTGTATCCTTCCCAACCCTCTAAGTAAACCTCTCTCCATCATTTAAGTTGTAGCTTAAATGTTGTTTCTTGTGGAAAGCTTTTTCCTAATTTTTGTTCTTCAGCCTATGGATCTCTGCGACATATTGAAATTTTCTCCTGTAAAGGATCTAACATGCTACACCATAATTATGCATTCACTCATTTGCTTCAGCAATTAGACGGTAAGGGATATTTTGTTCCCATCTCTTGAACAGAACCTCATTTAGAGTAAATACTTAACTACTATTTTATAATAGAATAATAGCTTCAAGGGAAATAGTAAGGATTTTATTTTTTGATAGATAGTTATTTTAGTTTTTATATATTTTTCCAAGAAACAAATAATAAAACTGCTTCACACAGGAGTCTGGGATATTATACACAAGTTTGAAAAGGAACTACAATTATGATTAAAGATGAAAGTGAGAATTTTAGACTTTTTGAGGCAAGTGAACAAAAAGTCTACAGAAACTGCAATCCAAATGCCTGGTTTCCAGTCTTTGTTTTGCCTTAAAGTTGCTAAGTGAACTCTTTGGAACCTTAGATTCCACACTGGAGGTTAACCAGATGATGCCAACATTACAGCTTATACAAAGTTGTGCTCAAGGAATCCGAAAGACAATGACTGTATTTGGCAGGCTAAGACACAACTTTCATTTAGTGAATGTGTAGGTAGATTAAAAGAATATGTTGAGAAAAAATGAGACATCTTCTCTGAAATTATTGTCATATTATTAATAAAAAGAAAATTTTATCTAACTTACATATTAAATGTAAATCACTCAGAAAGAATAATAAATTTAGAGAGAGTATATCTATTTCTTTTATTTTTCCTCAAACCTAAACTATGAAACTAACTCTATTTCTATTAAAATGCTTAATATTTGGGCTCAATATCCAGGTCATATTTGAAGACCTGCATTTGATTCTGTTTTTCCCTCCAATAATTTGTTATAATTGTGGCAATGGATTCAATTGATGGAAAAGATAGATCTTGAATATGGGGTTGAGCTACATGAGGTTTATTGAAACTTTGAATCCTAAAGTAAAACATAGGTCTGTATCAACAGTGAATTTGGAATGAAAACTCAGGTTGGAGTTGGCAAAGGGAAATAGAGTTCTCCCTGGCTAGTGTACAGAGTACACTTGTGTGAGAAGTCTTGCCACTTCTAAGATGTACACAAGAATTACTTGCATATTACTCCCAAGCCCTTTAATATACTGAGGCCAATACAGAGGGATAGAATCTTCAAAGGTAAGTTCGTGAATTAGTTCAATGCTTATATAAAGTCCAAATTCTAGAGAGTCTTGAAGCTCCCAAATCTTTGGAACTAGGTTAGAACTGGATGTGGTCATGTATCACTTTGATTTACCTTCAATGAAGGATTTGTTATCTCAGCTGCTGGAAGGCCTAGTGGTTGAAAGCTTCCAAATGCCAACCCCTTTATGAATTTGCCTTAGCTGCAGGGAGTCTCTTCACCCAATGTCATGCCCTTTCAGGCATGGCCCACATGCATTGATGAACAAAGTAGTAGTATAAAGGCTGGATATTTTAGCCCATTGAAAGGCAATTCTAATGGACATTTCAGCTTCATAACTCACCTTGGGGTTGACTGAGACCATTTCAGCTGAGTTTATCCCTCTGCCTCACTCTTCTCCATCATATCCTTTCCACAGGTATAATCCCCAAGGATTTTCATAATAGAGTCCTGAACATTGTGTTAGATCATCTTCTAATCACTCAGCTAGCAGAGTGAACCTCATCACTGGTGATTCGTAAAGCACAGATAGATCCTAATACAAAGTGGCAGTTCAATTATTAAAACTTTCACTGGTATTAATTAGAATGATATTCCAATGGAAGAGGTTGCATTTGCTGGTGATATTATCAGGTTTTTAAAAAGTATAGGGAAAATAGGAATATGGAATTGGATGTCTATTGCTGAGCTTGATGGAAATCCTAAAAAATATAAAGAAAGGCTTAGAACAATTAAAAGGCAATTACAAGTCAAATGTGAAAGCCAGATGGCCTCCTTAGTACTTATATAGAGGCTTTCATCTCTTACATCTGGAAAGCAGAGAAAACCAGGGGCCAGGCCCATGACTTAAGACTAAGAATAGGACCTCCAGAATGATGAAGTGAGGAACTCCATGGACCTTCTTCCTAGTGAGACAACCATAACTGCTGAAAATTATATATACATAAACAATCATTTAAAGTCTCTACTATATCTCACTATGAACAGCAAGAATCTGTGGGATTTGAGCCATAACAGCTATTTCCTCCCTTCCATATCTCAGTTCCACATGGTAGGAACTCCACTTCAGGTTGCAGCCAAGAACACAGGGCTCCCTCTCCCCCTGAATACATGCTACACTTCACTCTGGCTCCCAGTAGAAGGATTCAGTATCTCTTGAGGAGGAACTGGCCATTAGTATTTCTGAAGCTTTTATCTCTGTGTTTCAGAGGCTCTATTCCATGCATGAATGACTGAGAGGTTTAGGACTTTCTTTCTCTATCCAGCTCCCACATGTAGGGTTGAAGTGCTACTCCAGGCTGAGAAAGCCAAGAACACTGGTGCCCTATTGCTCTCACCTTCATTTACTTATATAGTGGAGGTTCCTTTCCAGGAAAGGCAAGCCAAGAAGAACACAGGCTGCTACTCTAGCTATTTTTTTGTTTTTATATGAAATGGAAAAGAGTAAGATATGGAGTTAGTGACATGGTTCTTATTAATAATCAATAACAGCAATAGAGAATATTCTTGAATCATACAGATTTTTAAAAGTACATTCAAAGTAGATAGCAGTAGACTTAATATTTTACTTATATCTTTCAGTTAAAATCTAGCTATCCAAAGTATTAGATTAATCCTTAACCAATAATCTCTTATTGATTAATGTGGTTAGAGCAGTGTTATCTTCTAGACTTTTTAGTAATCATGCATATTTTTAATATAAGCTGTAATTAATAATCAAAGGTAATCTATTATCAACGTAGCTACTTTTTTATTATGAAAAGCACTTAGAAACAATACAAAAATATTTTTCTTTCTAACTCCCCAGGTAGAAATATATCTGATTTTTTAACTGTCTTCCTAGCAATCTAATATTCTTCAGAGACTTAAGACTGTCCAGACCCTTGAACTGAGACACATACTGAAAGACTGGGTCATACTATTGTTTGAATTTTTTACATTTCTGCCCATTAAAGAAAAAGAAATCTTTTAACCCATGTCCTTAAGATGCTATATAGAATACATAAAACAATAGATGACACTTGTCTTATTATTTCAATTCCATCCCTCTAAAGATATAGAAGTTTATTTATATTATGGATCCAGAGGTGTAGGGTAGCCCTCTATATGGTAGGTAGAGTTCACCAATGCCATTTTGGAAGTAAGCCCCTTCTCACTCACAGGGCTACTGTTCTTGGTGGTGATGGCTGCAACTCTGTCTCATGCCTCTCTCCCAGGCAAGAAGGTAAAGGGTGCAGAAACTGCAGAACCCTCACACTTGTGCTTATGTTTCTTTGGCAAGAACTGAATCACATGACTATTTCTACCAGAAGAGGACACCATGAAGTTAAGTATTTTAATGTTTTAGCCAGTTGTATTATAGAGGACACGGGGAAAAGGAATTGAAACAGATTTTTAATGAAATAATTTACAGAATCTGCCACAAATTTGTATGTAACATTTTGTTAAGCCTGTTGTATATATAGATTTTTTTTTTTTTTTAACGAGACAAGGTCTCATCCTATCACCCAGGTTGGAGTACAGTGGTATTAACACAGCTCACTGTAGCCTTTACCTCCTGAGCTCAAGAGACCCTTTCCCCTCAGCCTCCTGAGTAGCTGAGACCACAGGCATACACTACTATGCCTGACTAATCTTTAAATTTTTGTAGAGACAGGGTCTCGCCGTGTTGCTCAGGCTGTTCTCAAACTCCTGGGTTCAAGTGATTCTCTCACCTTGGCCTCTCCAAATACTGGGATTACAGGTGTGAGCCACCATGGCCAGCCTATATATTCTTTATCCTGTAAAATAAAAGACTATATTGTGCCATTGATTATTAGAGTATTTGTATTACTGTAAATAATTGTATTATATCTCGTTTAAGTGGATATATCTAAGTATTTCCTAAATGTAATGTTAAGTAAAACTTGAAAATTTAGACAATGGAATAAAGTAGTGGTATACATTTTGTAATTTAAATCATGGAACTCTCTTTTATTAGCTGTATAATTTGAGGCATGTTGCTTAATTTCTTTGTGCTTCAGTTCCCTCATATTTGAAATAGGGATGGTAGCCCATGTACAATAAAGTTGTGGCACAGAGTAGATATGATAATATATGGAAGCCCTTAAAATAAACTCTGGCAAATAGCTTGAGTTCACTTACCCGCTTATCTATTTTTCTTTCATTAAAGTACTGTTTATTGAAATTTATTATCTAATATATTATTTTATCTGAATATAAAATCTGTATTTATTTTAAATGTGCTTACTATCAAAATTGAGAAGATACCAAAACAAAGTTTACAAAAATGACACTAATGCTTTCCACAAAACTACAGAATTTTTATAAAATCCACAGAAACCAACAACATGTGTGTTTGTTTCAAAAAAGGCTTCCCTCTCCATCTATTTGAAAATAAATTCAAAACTCATTGTTTAGCCATAAGTTCAAAGTACATAACCAGCTGAGTTTTAGTGCATGTTACTTAGTTTTAATCTAGTTACATAAGACATCTGCAAATGTGTTACATAACCTATAGAGAAATTTCAGGGAGTCATTTACACACTCCAAAATATGGAATGTCTAAAAAACTCCTAGGAGAGAGATGTGGGGTGTGATTTTTAAAATAAAGATTTTATTTTCCGTCAGAAGCTGTGATTCACTGGTTCTGCTTCTTTATGGAACACCAAATACATGTTCTTTGACCTCTGTGTAATTTATTTAAACCCAAGCTCAATAACTTTAAATGCAGTTATCATCACAATGCTTCAAACAATGGTCAGCGATCTGTGAAGACGCAATGCACTGTCTCATTAAACCAAAAACCCCGACAGTCTGAAATAAGCACAATCTAACTGCCTTACAATTAGATATGGTATCTTACAAAAATATGTGCAGCACAACCGTGACCTTTGTACTAATTCAACCTCCCTGGCAGCTGACTCTTCTTCCACACACACACACCTCCTTAAATAGTCTTGAATGTCAAATAACTTATTATTTACGAAGGCATCGCTGTCAAATACCCACGAGTATGCTATTTTCTTCCCAGAAGATCTGGCTATCTTCCATAGCAGGCTTTGTGTTCTTATAGCTTTGAATCTTTAAGGAAGATGTCAGAGTCAGGTAAAGCTGTAAGAGTCAGAAATGGGATAACAGCAGGATGGAGCAAACCAAGGAAGGAAAGATATGGGTATCCCAGAGGAGCCATTGATTCAGAGAGTGGAAAGGAGGAAGTGTGTCAGGGAATGGTGTTCCAGTTGTGGCCACATGAGTATGTGAGCCAGAATGGAGATTTGTGACTTGCAGACATGGAGGCGTGGGCTGGGAAATAGATGGGTTTTGAATACCTAGCAATGGTTCATACCAGTTGCAAGATTGTCCTTTAATTTATATACTTGGTAGATATTTATTAAACATGTAACTATGTACTAGGTACTTTGCTAACTGCTGAGGACTATGTTAAAAAAGACAGACTTGGTTGTTCCCCTAATAGAGATTACTGTCAAGAACATTTTAGAGTAAGGGTGATGGAGAATATCAGTTCAGGTCCAGCAAGGTACATGGGGACATGCAAAAATTGGTAGTGCAATTTCTGCAATGGGGGTACCAGAAATGAGCATGAACAATAATAGGAAGGAAACTCATATATTAGGGGATATTCATATATATGGGAACTGATATATTAGGGAGAAACTTAGAGGATTCACTGTGTGTTTTAAATTTCCTAGTGTTGCCTATGATATTATGCCCGTCTATTTTTTTAATCATTACTATTCCTTGTCTTCTTAGTAGATTGTGATCAGTACTTAGCCCATAGAAGGTGCTGAATAAATAAAGTCTATTGAATAAATGAATGAGTTAGCAAGGTCAAAGTAGAATCCTAACAAAACAACCTCAGTGATGAGCTAGCAAAAAAACCCCTGTAGCCTCCTTGCCTTGGGCAGGTGAAGTCTCAGGTTCTGGGGTACAATGGGCCTGTACCGGGAGCTTGTCACCCAGTAGCCATGTGAGGTAACACCTGCTGTGCCATTAAAAAATAAATGTGATGACTGTTTTCCAGAGAGAAACAAGCTAAACTAAACAGGGACGCAATTCTCTTCTGCAGCACAGAATTTTTCCCCTTTCTTCTTTTCGCAGTAGGACCGATCAAAACTAGGCTTGAGAGGCTGCAAACAGAAAGTCAAGGTAAATAAGTGTCAAAGTTATTCAAAGGGACCCTGAGCTGTGGTATTCTGTGTAACTGTTGAAAAGAGTCAATCTAAAAGACTTGGGCATCTTGCAATTACAATCAGGTTTAATCTAAACAGAGAATTCAAAAAAGAAAGAAAGAAAAAAGTAAAGAGCCCTTCTACTTCCACGGGATCTGGCCTTTGGAGCAGGTTCCTGAGAAGTATCACTTGAGGCTCTGATATCAAACCAGCAGTTTCATAAATGGTGAGATTGTAGGTTAAATAAAGGCGTTCATTTCTGATGAGTTTCACATCAGGAGACTGTGCCTACCACCCTTTGAGGTTTCAAAAATAGCAACATATACATGTTACTTCCATCTAAGAGGAGCCAAAGTGCAGACAGGCTGACCTGAAGCGTTCATTAACAACAGCTGGAAAGGGAAGAAATCATGTGCACATCTAACCTAGATTTAAAACCATTAATTTTTCCTTCAATTTCAAAGCTGTTCTGCTTTCATAGTGCACCATTTATCTAGTATAAAAAAGAAAATACCTTCAAATGATTCCCTTGTTATTCTTTTTATTATTTAATATATATTAGAACATTCCTGGCATACTATGTCATATATGACCTGAAGAGGCACTAGAGTTTAATAGAAATAGCGGAGATAAGGCATATAAAGCTCTTGGTACAGTACTTGGCACAGACGTGGAAGGCATTGAGTCAATGTCTGTGCTTATCCTTCACAATAGGACATTTTGAATAGGTGACCTGATTTTGAGTTCTGGTTCTGTATCTTGCTAGTTTGGTGACCTTGACTGATAAGTGCCCCTTTCAGATTTGCCTTGGCTTCCTCATGTAAGCCATAAAGGAAAAAGTTTAAAAAGTAAAAGAGAAAACAAAAATGTTGACCCGGAAAATACAAACCCAAAGAAAGCTATGTGACTTAGATTTTGTTTGTTTGGTTAAGTTAAAAAAGCTAACAAAGACAAAGAATTAGTAAAAATATATAAATAAATAAGTCACTGGAAAAAAAAGATTCAATTCACTTAGAAACTATAACAATTGTAAACATATATATACCTAATAAAATACTTTTAGCATAAATTAAATTAATGAAACTGCAGAAAGGAATTTATGAATGTACCATCACTGTGGGATAGTTCAGCAGGTTT